>NC_000002.12:27979122-28131872 GCF_000001405.40 Homo sapiens
ATTCAAGCAATTCTCCTGCCTTAGCCTCCCAAGTAGCTGAGACTACAGGCATGCGCCACCATGCCCAGCCAATTTTTGTATTTTTTTGTTTAGTAGAGACGTGGTTTCGCCATGTTAACCAGGCTGGTCTCGAACTCCTCACCTCAGGTGATCCATCTGCCTCAGCCTCACAAAGTGCTGAGATTACAGGTGTGAGCCACTGCGCCTGGCCTATGTACATTTTCTTTATCAGATTCACTCTTGATGGGCATCTAGGATGATTCCAAGTCTTTGCTATTGTGAATAGTGCTGCAATGAACATATGAGTATATGTGTTTTTTTCATAGAATGATTTATATTCTTTTGGGTATATACACAGTAATGGGATTGCAGGGTTGAATGGTAGCTCTATTTTAAGTTCTTTGAGAAATCTCCAAACTGCTTTCCACAGTGGCTGAACTAGTTTATGTTCCCACCAACAGTGTGTAAGCATTTCCTTTTCTGTGCAGCCTCACCAGCATTTTGTTATTTTTTGACTTTTTAGTAATAGCCATTCTGACTGATGTTAGATGGTATCTCGTGGTTTTGATGTGTATTTCTCTAATGATTAGTGATTGTATTAGTTGTATTAGTATTGAATTGTTTCTTAGAAACTATGTTTTCCTGGCAGTTATTGAAACTGATAGACAAAATAGTATGATAATATTTCACTGGTGAGGAATAAGGCAAGTATCCTGTGGACAGGCTGTGTTCCTTCTGTAATTAGGGAGTAGGAGATATGGTCCACTCTGCATATCTGGTAAGTGAGCCTTCCTGAGATGGTGCTGATACCTTCTAAAAATTGTCAGCTGCTAAGGCACAAGCGTGTAAATAAAATCTACTTTGTATTTAACATTTCTGTGATTTCATGTATGTGTCATATTATAAAGCACTGTTGATGTGCATTTTGAAAGGAAGGAACTTCTGCCCCCATTGCTCCCACTGTTATAGCCTGGCAAGTTTCAGGGAGTAATGAAAAATAAGACTTGAAACTCTTATTTTGTTGTTAGGTGGTTGTAACACTTCTTCCTTTTTTTTAAACCTCGCCTTATAGCACCTCTGATCCTGCTTTTATTTCTTTGTTCTCCTGCATACTCTTCCATTTTATGAAAAGTTGGAGTAAGCAGTGTCCAGGTAATCTGTACTCTGTGTTCATATCATCTGCTCCAGGGTGAAATAAAGGAAATGTGATGTTATTGCTCTTCTATATGATTTGTGTTGGTCTTTTCTCTACTGTCTCTGCCTTGAGGTCAGGTACTATGTTTTCTACTTCCTGTATAACTCCCCAGGTGTCCAGTATGCACATCTGTGCGTTGTGGGTTTTTAATAAATGTTCTTGACTGATTTACTGACTGTTCTGCATAGCAAGAGAACAATGCCACAGTTTATTTCAAAGAGGCTGTACAGTATTGAGGCAAAGTGTTTCACAGTTCTCTGAGGTTGAAGGTAGGAGCCTGAGAAATTCTGGAACATAACTATGTGAGATTCTGAAAGCTATTTTAAGTTACTTCTTTGTTTTGAAAAATATTTATATAATGTTTTTATTACATGTAATGTAGTAAACTTCCTCCCCTTTTAGTACATATCTTTTCCTTAAAAAAAAAAAACTTTATTATATATTCAAATACTGGTTGGTTGCCTTAAAATTTATTGAAAAATCAGCTGTAGAAGTAATAAGATCTAGTGTTTGGCAGCACAATAGGGTGAGTATAGTTAACAGTAATTTATTGTGTATTTCAAAATAAAGAGTGGAATTGGAATTTTCTTAACACAAAGAAATGATAAGTGCTTGGGGTGATGGATATCTCAATTTCCTTAATTTGATTTTTATACATTATGTGCTTGTATGAAAATATCACATATACCCCATAAATAAGTACAGCATTATATATCTATAATAGTTAAAAATTTAAAAAGTCTGTCTTTAACATTATCCAGTCGTGTCCATTAAAAAGACACATTTTGTAAAGTTCCTTAAAAATAAAGATCTTTGCAAGTATTTATCTTAAAAAGCATTCTTTACTTTTATAAAGGGCTCATTGCAGAGTTCTTTTAAATGCAGAAACTCTTCACATTGCATTTTTAATATGATTTTATTTATAAAAGTAACTGTGTCACAACTATTCAGTAAACACTTTGTAATTTATTTAAGATCAGGTTTTTTTAAAGTGGGACAATTTTTTGCATGAGATTAAAAATAAAAACAGCTTTATTGAGATACAATTACATACCGTGCAGTTTACCCTCTAAAGTATACAATTCAGTGGCTTTTTACAAATATAGTCACAAAGTTGTACAACCATCACTAATTTCAGAAAATATTTATCATCACAAAAAGAAAGCTTGTACCAGTTAGCAGTCGCTTCCCATTCTCCTGTTCCCCATTGTCTGGCAACCATTAATCTACTTTCTGTCTCTATGAATTTTCATATTCTAGACATTTCATATAAATAGATTCATACAATAATAATACAATAAGTAGCCTTTTGTGTCTGGCTCATTTCACTTAGCTTAATGTTTTCAAGGTTTATCCACATTGGAGCATTATATCAGTACTTTCTTTCAAATTTGAATAATATTCCATTACATGTATAATGTCACAATTTATTCATTCATCAGTTGACGGACATTAGTTGTTTCCACTTTTTGGCGATTGTGCATAATGCTGGTACAAACAATGTGCAAGTTTTTGTGTGGACATGTCTTCACTTCTGTTGGGTATATGTATACCTACGAGTGGATTTGTAGGGTCAGATGGTAGCTCTATGTTTAACCTCTTGAGGAACTGCCAGACTGTTTTCAAAAGTGACTGCACCATTTTGCATTCACACCAGCAGTGTATAAGTGTTCCAGTTTCTTCATATTTTCATAAACACTTATTATTATATGTCTTTTTGATTATAGCCATCCAAGTGGGTAATTAAGAGCTATCTTACTGTGATTTTGATTGCACTTCCCTGTTGGCTAATGATCTTGAACATCTTTCTATGTATTTATTTGACATTTGTATATCTTCTTGGAGAAATACCTGTTCAGACCCTTTGCCCTTTTAAAATTGGGGTATTTGCCTTTATATTGTTGACTTGTGAGATTTCTTTGTTCTGGGTACAAGTCCTTTATTAGCTATGTGATTTGCAAAATTATCTCCCTGTGGATTGTCTTCACTTTCTAGATAGTCTCATTTGAAGGCCAAAATTTTTAATTTTGATGAAGTTTAATTTATCTATTTTTGTTGTTGTTGCTTGATTTTGGTTTCATGTCTGAGAAAGCATTGCCTAGCCCAAAGTTATAAAGATTTATTCTTATGTTTCCTTGAAGAATCTTGTAGTTTTTTGCTGTTACACTTAGGTCTTTGATTCATTTTGAGTTAATTTTTGCATGATATGAGGTAGGGGCCCAACTTCATTCTTTTGCCTGTGGCTTTCCAGTTGTCCCATCACCATTTGTTGAAAAGATGCTTAAAAAACCCATTTAATTGGGATAAAATATACTTAACAAAATTTACCATATTAACCATTTTTAAGTGTACACTTCAGTAGTGTACTTTTATGAAACACACTACTTCAGGTGTTTCGTATAAGTGGAGTCATTATAGTATTTGTCTTTTTGTGACTATTTTACTTGATGTCGTCAATATTCATTCATGTTGTAGCATGTTTTAAAATTTTTCTCCTTTTAAGGCTGAATAATATTTCATTATGTGTACACACACACACACACACACACACACACACACACACACATATATGTCACATTTGGTTTATCCATTCATCTGTTTGTGGACAATTGGGTTGCTTCTACTCTTTGGCTATTGTGAATCATGTTGCTGTGAACAGATGTGTGCAAATATCTCTGATAATCTCCTTTTAGCTACTTAGGGTATATTCTCAGAAGTAGATTTCTGGATCATATGTTAATTTTTAATTTTTTTGTGTGGAATTACCACTGTGTTTCCTATAGTGGCTGTACCATTTTACATTCCCACCAGCACTTCCAAGGGGTTCCAATTTCTTCATGTTCTCACCCACCCTTGTTATTTTTTTGTTTGATAGTAGCTCTTCTAATGAGTGTGAGATGATGAAAATACTTTTTTGCCCCATTGAATTGTGTTGGCACCCTTGTCAAAAATCAGTAGGCCATAAATTTGAAGGTTTATTTATGGACTCTGAATTCTGTTCCATTGATCTGTATTCCTATCCATATTCCAGCACCACATTGTCTTCATTGCTGTAGCTTTGTAACAACTTTTATAATTGAGAACGCCTGCAAATTATTTTTAAATATTTCTTTGGCTATTTGCATCCCTTCCATTTTCATATGATTTTTAGGATTGGCTTGTCAATTTCTGCAAAGAGTCCAGCTAGGGCTTTGGTAGGGATTGCATGGGATCTACAGATCAACTTGGGTTGTGTTGCCATTTTAACAATAGTAAGTCTTCTAGTTGACAAACATGAGATGTCTTTCCATTTATTTAGGCCTTTTTTAATTTCTTCAAACAATGTTGTGTAGTTGCTAGTGTACATTTCTTATACTTCTTTTGTTAAGTTTATTCCTAAGTATTTTGTTCTTTTTGATCTCATTGTAAATGGAATTTTAAAAAATTATTTTTGGATCGTTAATTACTGTTGTACAGAAATGCGGTTGATTTTTGTACATTTATCTTGTATCTTGCAACCTTGCTGAAGCTGTTTATTAGTTCTCATTGTTTGTGTGGATTCATTGGGATTTTTTACATGCAAGATTTATGTCATCTGTAGATAGAGATAGTTTTGCTTTTTTCCAATGTAGATACATTTTGTACCTTTTTTTTTTTTTTTTTTTGCCAAATTGTTCTTGCTAGAGCCTCCAGTATAATGTTGAATAGAATCAACCAGAATGGATATTCCTTTAAGTAGATTTTTTCAATGTTTACCAGTTTGGAAATATTTATTACTAGCAGTGTTCCTTTGTGAACTTGAAAATGCAGCCATTCTTCTATAGCAGCAAAAGTGATAAAATTTCTTTTATTGGAATTTAGCATGTTATTTATTTTTAGAATGTCAAGGGACAATAGATCCTAGATTGGCATTTTTCAAAACTTTGATATCTTTGCTCTGTTAACTTTTTGATTTTTTTTCCTAAAGTAACTAAAGTAAGCCAACTATAGGACTTTTAAAAACACATCTCTAAAGTATGTTCCTTCCTAAAGAATATGCTTGCTGTGTATATTTGAAAGAATGAGTAATCAGGACATTCATATTATCTCTACTTGTGCTTTTTAGCCAAGGCTTGAGTTAATGCCTTATAGTTAGCACTTTTGAATTTTATGATTTATCATAGATACAATTGATCATCTGAGATGATGATAGTGGCTAGGGTGAGAGGAGGTGGTTGTACTACTTTTGATAATTTAATTTTATACCTGTCTTCTGAAGGATACATTTTCTTGTTTAAATTTCTTCCCTACAGAAGCTCCAGGAGTGACTTTGCTATGACTTCTTCTTCTTTTTTTAAATAAAAATATATTTTATTTTTAGTTTTTTTTGTGTGTTGCATTTCTCACATTTTATTTTATTTTTATTTTTTATTCCAGTAGGTTTTTGGGGAACAGGTGGTGTTTGGTTACATGAATAAATTCTTTAGCGGTGATTTCTGAGATTTAGGTGCACCCATCACCAGAGTAGTGTAGACTGTACTCAGTGTGTAGTCTTTTATCCCTCACCTCCTCCCACCCTTTCCCTCGAGTCCCCAAAGTCCATTAAGTCATTCTTACGCCTTTGCATCTTCAAAGCTTAGCTCCCACTTATGTGTGAGAGCATACAATGTTTGGTTTTCCATTCCTGAGTTACTTCACTTAGAATAATCGTCTCCAATTCCATCCAGGTTGCTGCAAATGCCATTATTTTGTTTCTTTTTATGGCTTAGTAGTATTCCATGATGTGTGTGTGTGTGTGTGTGTGTGTGTGTGTGTGTGTGTGTAGCTACGATTTCTTTATCCGCTTGTTGACTGATGGGCATTTGGGCTGGTTCCATAGTTTTGCAATTGTGAATTGTGCTGCTATAAGCATGCGTGTGCAAGTATCTTTTTTGTATAATGACTCCTTTTCCTCCAGGTAGATACCCAGTGGTGGGATTGTGGATCAAATGGTATTTCTACTTTTAGTTCTTTAAGGAATCTCCACACTGTTTTCCATAGTGGTTGTACAAGTTTACATTCCCACCAGCAGTGTAAAAGTGTCCCCTTTCACCACATCTGCGCCAACATCTATTATTAATATTTTTTTGATTATGGCCATTCTTGCATGAGTAAGGTGGTAATCGTATTGTGGTTTTGATTTGCATTTCCCTGATAATGGGTGATGTTGAGCATTTTTTCATATGTTTGTTGCTATGCCTTATTCTTCACTGAAGATTTTTTTCAGCACTTAGACGTTCAGTTCAGAGAATAGAATTTCTTTAATTTATTGAGTGTTTATTGAATATATTCTATTTGTGCTGTACTTTCCCCTGTCAGAAACATTAAATAAGTATAAAAACATGTCTGTTCTGTGGATGCTTACAATTTAATTAGGAAGATCAATTATATGTACTCACCTTGTACCGCTGTGTATTTGTGGCTCTGGGTCTATGTCTTATATCCCTCACTAAACATGAGCTCCTTGAGAATAAATATCTTTGTATTGACACAGCGTGTCACAGTATCTCACAGGTAGCTTGTGTTTATTATGATTTTTTAAAATTAATAGAGCAATAAAACAATATAAGACTACTTACAACTAAATACTAAAGTGAATGGCGTAATTAGTCAGGATTTTAATTTCAGAAGTAACAATGATCTGTGTGTTCTGGATTTATTAGGGTAGGCTTCATACAAGAGACAATTTAGTGGGCTCATAAAGGATGGTAAGAACTGAGCAAGGAGAGAGATATAGTATTTGATGTCATAGTATTTGGAGGGCATTGAGCAGATCATATTGACTGGAAGAAAAGACAGGCTTGTAGATAAAGAGAAGGGTGGATATCAGTTTGAAAAGTTTGCTTTTACTCCATTTGATATTAGAGACTCATTTAAGTTTCTTGAGTTAGGAAGTTTTGGGACAAAATAGCACATTAAGAATATTTACTTGGTGATAATATGTATTATGGACTGGAGGGCAGCTAGTATTAGGAGATCATTTTAAAAGGTATGATAATGATTGAGTTTCTTTAGTCTGTCAGCTTTTAATAGCAGGGTTTTTTTTTTGTTTGATCTTTAATGCCTATCATAGTGGCTATGGCAAAGTTCAAATATTTATTCGGTGGATGAGTGAATGTATGGACTAGGTGATCTGGGCCTGGAAGGGGCTGTTAACAGTAGGAAAAATCCATATGAGTGACATTTTGGAGGAAAAATTGAGATGACTTATTTTCTAAGAGTATACAGGGTGTATGAAAGGTTGAAGATGACACTGAAGTTTTAGCATGGAATCAGGGAACGAGAGGAGTGAGAAAAGGGAGAGTCATCATCATGTTTTAGTCTTGCTGAGTTTGACATTGAAATGCCTAGTACATAGATATTTAAGGACTCAAATGAGAACTGAAGTTTAAATGTTTACATTTGGATAAAATTTTATAGATACTGTTTGAGCAGTAAAAATGATTGGATTGATAAAGCTGTTATGTATGTATGTGTACAGAGGTGGTATACATGTACACAAGTATACATATTTTTATACATTACAACTCAATATGTGTGTTAGATTGTCGATAAACTAATCTACTTGTTAGTATTAGCATAATGATAAGAGCTGATTCTTGGGATGAGCAGAGGAAAAAAGGGAGCTACAGAAGAATTCAGAAAAGAAACAGGTAGAAGAACTTGCAATCTAAATTTGCTAATGAGACTTTGTAAATTTGTCTTATGTTTCAAAACAAAAGTAATACTTCCATTATCACATGTTGAGAACTTACTATATGCTGGACACTGCTAGGCATGCCATCTCTTTTTATCGTCACAATAAATCTGTGACATTAGTACTATTATATCTACTTCTTACTGATGAAGAAACTGAAGTCTAAAGAAGTTAAAACTTGCTCAAGATCACTTGAGCTAATAAATAATGAGGAGACCTTGTGGATATAAATCTAAGTTTTTGTGAACTATAAGCCATATGTTCTTTCCATTATACAAAAGTATGTATGTTTAATTTCTGCAAGGCAAAGACTGTGTCTATACAGAATCAGTCTTCGTAAAGGCTTACTAATTAATTAGCAGGCAGTGATTGGACAGTAATGTTACCTGTAAAAATAATCAGTACATATTTTGGATGTGGCTGCTTCTACTTTTCTCCTTGGATATTTACATTCACAGTGTACTTGGAGATAAAGCTTTTTTGATTGCTTGTTGTGGATGTTAAATTGAAAAAGGATAGCAGGCCTGGGATAGTGGCTCACACCTATAATCCCAGCACTTTGGGAGGCTGAGGTGGGTTGATCGCTTGAGCTCAGGAGTTCGAGACCAGCCTGCACAACATGGCGAAACCCCATCTCTAATAAAAATACAAAAATTATCTGGGCATGGTGACATGTTCCTGTAGGCTCAGCTCCTTGGGGGGCTGAGATGGGAGAATTGCTTGAGCCTGGGAGGTCGAGGCTGCAGTGAGTCAAGATGACACCGTTGCACTCCAGTCTGGATGACAAAGTGAGACCCTGTCTCAAAAAAAAAAAAAAAAAAGATATCAGTTTATTTGAAGAATTAATCATCTGGAAAGTGCTTTTCAAATGGTTTTCTTAAACTAATGTAAATTTCTTTTAGAAGTTTTTCTGATACAGTCTTCAGAATATTCATACTTAGAAAGGAAATAAAAAGGACCTGTCATTTTCTTTTATTTCAGGGGATATCATTTTCAATGCCCAATACCCAGAACTGCCTCCCGATTTTATCTTTGGAGAAGATGCTGAATTCCTGCCAGACCCCTCAGCTTTGCAGGTGAGTACTGCAGACTTGCTTGAATGATCTTTCTTTGGTGAAAGGAAAACAAAATTGGCTTTCAGCAGTTGCTTAACAGATAGATTTGTCACACATCTGCATTTTTTTCCCACCCCTCTTTTCTCTGTCCTGTGAAATAGATGGAACTCTTTATGTGCCATAGTAGTTAAATAAGAGGTTTTTTTCATTGCTGTTTAGTTTCAGGGTATTTCGAATTAATGAAAGTCTCTAGCATATTGGTTGAAATATTTTTACTTCAGTTTAAAGAGACATGTTGAAAATATTTTCTTTGTTTTAACATAATATATCATGCCTGCAATCAATTTTCTAATGTTTACTAACACTTCATTACAGGGCTCGTTAGGAGAGTGTTTCTTGGCTCTTCAAGGAGCCGTTTTTATATAGAAGTGAAAGTGGCAAATTTGGACTTGTATCCGCATTATCTCAGTATCTCAGTATTGTTATCAGAAGGGTAAAGACCAGATTAAGTGTTCTTTATCAAGCAACACCAGAAACTTTGTAGTTGAAATAAAATGTTTCTGGAATTAAAGCAGAAATATTCACCATTAGGGAAAGGGTGGTGGTACTTGTTGGAGCACATATGCTTTAGTAAGCATACGTACTTACTAAAAAAGTTGTGTGTTTTGCATGGTGGATGGAGAAAAACACATGCCATTTTGTTTAAATGGTTCTGACCAGACAAAATGTCTCTTTTTATTTCTTCTCAAATTTGAGTTTGGTATGATACCTATACTAGAAGAGGTTTTATAGTTGTTCAAAACTATACTCTTAGTTTCGTTTCCTGGAAATTTTTTGTCTTATTCAAGTTTTATTGTTAAAAGTTTTGATGACTTACTTTGAACTCTTGCCCTGCTTCCACCCTTTAAAGGTATTAAACAGGAAGTAGTAACCCAAACCTAAAGTATTGTCTTAAACATTAGAACATAGCTGTAAAAATATTGTTGGCAAGAGTAAGGTGGATTCGTGGTGAAGTTTCTAATAATTGAACATCAGCTGTAATTTTTTTAATTAAAAAAATCTGAGTTCAATATGGCCCCTTTAGATGCTGTGTGTTACGTATTCACCCCATATTAAAGCTGAGAGTCTTAAACCTGGAAAAAAAAATGACACAGAGATTTCACCACAGACTTCTTCTGTATTAAGTCTGCCCAGAGGAGGGTGGCATATGCTGGATGCCAAAGATGTATTCCAGGCTAAGTGCCTCAGGAATTTAAAGGTGGTCAGAAAAAGCTTTGTAGTTGAGGCGAGACTTGTACTCATTCTTGAAGAATGGAACAAAAGTGGGAGGTATGACAAAGAGTATTTCAGGTGGGGGAATGACATAAGCACATTGGGGGAATGACATAAGCACATTGGAAGTAGCTAGGATTTGTCTAATGTATTTCAGAAGGCACTGACAGGTTTGCTGAAATGTAAGTCAATATAAGGAAGGGATCAACAAGGTTAGAAAGGTAAATTGGGAGAAGACTGTGGGGCACATTGAATGCTGGGCTAGGAGCCATTGAAGGAAATGATGAAGGGAGAATCATCTAATAGCAGTGTGGTCAATATAATGGAATAAGGAGAGATCGAAGACCAGAATTGAGGATAGTTGTAAAAATTCAGTGGAGGGAGAAAGGGCTTTGAGCTAGGGTGATGCAAGAAGAAACAGCATAATGGAAAGAATAAAAAAGTCATGTTTACAACTTCTTTTTTTTTGAAATTGCATTTAAAATTCATAGCACATATCTTTAATATTTGGCAAGTATTGTGTAAGTGTAGAATTTAAATGCTAGAAAGGATCTTAAGATTCATTTTATTCTAATCTTCCATTTTAATATTGAGGAAATTGACCTAGATTTATATAATTCTGTGTCAGACCTGATATTATAACACCACTCTTAAGATGTTTAGTCCCTGAGTGAAGTTATCACAAATGTTTTGAGAATATAGCTGAAAAAGAATAGCCGAAAAAATCAAAGCACTAGATCTAAGTGAAAGATTGCAAATCTAGGGGAACACCTTCTCCTTAGTGATAGTTCATCTACGGCCTTGGGTAGACTACCCAGGGCTTCTTCATGGATCAGCGGGCTGAGCAAGCCCAGATAAGCAACCAGAGCATACCCTCCACTAGTTGGGCGATGTCCAAATAGTTCTGAAGGTTGCTCTTGATGGTTATTGTTGTCTGATTAAAACACCAGACAGGTTAACTACAAGGCCTGATCCCCAGCAGACATTTCTCTGAGTGTAGCTTGTCTCTGAAAGATTTTTCACTCACTTGTTAACAGATTTTGGTTTAATTCTTGGATTCAGTTCAGACATTTTTCCCCTTCCTGTAGTGCTCAGAGCACAATCATTAATAACCTGACTAGTCTACATATGGTTCTGAATGAAGGGGGAATACAAATTTCATCACCCATGGAGTGGAAAACAGAATGCCTAGATTTCTTGGATTTTTCCTGAAGTATGCCTTGCAGAAGGGCATGAGTATATACCCTTAGAACCTGGGAGTGTAGTCTGAAGTAGTTCCTGTGGCAGGTGTGGAATTTCTTTGAAGTTTCTGGGTTTTATCTTAAAAATTCATGAAAATTTTATATTTGATTCTGTAATATACCTGTATTTTTAAAACAAAAATATATTAAATTATAAATATTTGAGAAAAAAATGACTCTTCAATGTGTCTCAGTTTGAGAAATGTAGTTTTAGAGAATATGTGTAATATATATAATCTTTTATTTATTCAATTTATTTAAATCAAATCGTTTCTGGGGAAAAAAAAAGGATTTGAGGTAGCTTAAGTAAAGGACACACATAAGGTTAATAGGAATATGTGACGTGCTGTGATCCATCCAATGAGGCCACCTCTTTCTAAACTCAGACTCTTCATTTAGGGAGGTGAGTTCCATTAAGGAACTTGAGATTTTCAGATAAATGGAAAATACTAGATAGAGAGGTATCTCATAGATAGCAAAGGTAAACTCTCATACAATCATTGAGCTAGGACATTAATGGTTCAGTGGTTCCCAATTCTAGATATACATTAAAATAAATTGAAAAGCCTTTTAAAAATACAGATTACTGGACCTACTGAATTATATCCTTTGGGGAGCCCAAGAACTTATTAAATTCTCTGGGCTATTTTTATGATTTCTCTGAGCTGTTACTGGGAACTACTGATTGAATCCATCTTTTATAGTAATGTTTCCAACAGAAGGCTGTTTGCCTTTGCTTAACATTATTTCCAGTGAAGTATTATTTTCCATTCTGGAGACAGTTCAAAAGTTTTTTTAAGTAACAGCTTTATTGAGACAATTTATATGCCGTACAATTCACCTAAAGTGTGTAATTCAGTTGTTTTTAGTATGTTCACAGAATTGTGCAGCTTGCATCTATCACCACAAATTTAGAACCTTGTCATAATCCCAAAAAGAAACCTTAAACTTATTAGCAGTCACTTCCCTATATTCCCACCCTGATCCACCACCACCCAAAGTAGCAACTTATCTGCATTTTGTCTCTATGGATTTGCCTATTCTGGACATTACATATAAATGGAATCATATAATATGTTGTCCTTTGTTACTGATCTCTTTGACTTAGCGTATTGTTTTCAATGAAGCATGTATTACTGTTTTATTTTCTTATTGCCAAATACGATTACATCGTGTGCATATACTGCATTTTATTTATCCATTCATCAGTTGATAGACTTACAGGTTGTTGCCGTATTTTAGCTATTGTAACTACTGTTGTGTGGATATTTTTATTTCTCTTGGATATATTTCTAGGAATGGAATTGCAGGGTCAAATGGTAACTCTATGTTTAACTTTTTGAGGAAATACCAAACTGTTTTCAAAAGTGGCTGTGGCATTTTACATTCTTACCAGAAGTGTATGAGTGTTTCAGTTTCTCCACATTCTCAGCAACACTTGCTATTATGTCTTTTTTATTATAGCCATCCTAGTGGGTATGAAGTGGTATCTCATACCCACAAATGAAGTGGTATCGCACTGTAGTTTTGATTTGTGCTTTTTTTGATGGCTGGTGATACTGAGCATCTTTTCATGTGCCTATTGGCTATTTGTATATATCCTTTGGAGAAATGTCTATTCAGATCCTTTGCCCATTTAAAAATTGGATTGTCTTTTATTGTTCAGTTGTAAGAGTTCTTTATTCTGAGCATAAAAATAAACAAAAGACAAAGAGTCACATCCATTAGTATTTATTGCTTGTATACTGTGCATTGAACACTGTTCAATATGGAACTTGACCTCAAGAAGTCTAAATTTTATGGAGGTGGCTGGGTGCAGTGGCTCATGACTTGTAATCCTAGTACCCTGTCTCTCAATCAATCCATCAATAAATTTTAGGGAGGTAAGACGTAGATATCTAAAAGCAAATACAGGTAGTATATAATTAAAATGTTGGAATAATTGAAACAAAAGCAATGCTATGGGGTAGTTAAATACTGTTTTTCACGTACAATATGTGATGTGAGAAGAGAGGATGTTCAATAAATTAAGATGGAGTCTCCATTGTAATAAAAAAGGAAAATTATTGTAGGTTGGAATTTTGGGATTAAAATAATCTAGAAGAAGTTAAGTGATGGGTAGGTTATGCTATAGCTGTCACCCAATTGCTTCTTTAACTTGAACTTCTTCTCTTTTGCTCTTTTGCTCCTTGCTCAGCCCTTTCCAGCCACAGAGGCATCCTTGCCATTCCTCAGACATTCTAAACACACTCCCACCTTAGGGCCTTTTCATTTGCTATTGACCATTTTTTATTTACTCTACCTGTAACCCTTCCTGCACTTACCTGAATGGCTTGTTCTCTCCTTTCTTGAAGTGTCATTATATCAGAGAGGCTTTCCCTGACATCCCTATGCAAAATAGCAATACTCTCCTCAGTACATTCTCATCTTTGTTGTGGTCTGTTTTCTTCAAAGCACTTATCATCATTTGATGATTTTTGGTTGCTTGTTTGGTGTCTGTCTCTGCCAGGGTGACCAACTGCCTTGATTTGCCCTGGACTGAGGGGTTTTCTGGGATGCAGGACATTCAGAGTTAAAAAAGGGCAGTCCCAGGCAAACTGGGATAATGAGTCATCCTTGTCTTTTCACTGGATTGGCAGCTTCAGGAGAGAGTGGAATTTGTTCACTGCTATATCCTGGTAATTTGAAGAGTGCCTGGTATGTAGGGGTATACAATACATGTTTGTTAGATGAACAGATTTCCTTTAAGGTTCTGTATCCCTTAAGGGACTTGCAGCTTTCCAGGACTAGAAAATACACTTTAGATTAAAATTTTAAAAAGTAGAAAAAAAATTTAGAGAAATTTGGAGGGATAAAAATAAAATCAGTTAACAGAACCTCTGAAACTATGATTTTCAGCCTTTGTTTTGCAACACCCTGTGGTATGTTCATCTCCCTCAAAGGATATTATGAAATTCTTTACCCCCAAGGTAATAATGATAATTCACTTTAACTTAAAATGAAGTTGCATAAAGGAGGAAGGGTGGATCATAAATTTAAATGAGAAAAGCATGTTGCAATTATAGTAGGTTGGAAACCTCTGCTATCTGACTTCCCGGTTTGAGGAAGCTGAGGGTAATTTAGTGTTTGGGACAAGCATCTTCAGGGTAGTGAACCTAATGCTACTGCAGGTATTGGTCACTGGTTGTATGAGTCCTTCAGTGACTGTTCTGCTTGCGTAGAATGTAAGAGTACCAATGCCTTGTCACTTTTCCTCCTGTGCTCTTCATTGTGCTACCTACAGAAGGACATCTTCTGAATGTGTCCTTGCAAAATAGTTCCCATCCCCAGTATACACAAAATATATACAAAGAATGCACTAAGCTGAAATGGACTGCATGTCACACACTTGAAAAACGCTATCCCGATGGATGGTGCTCGATGCCTAGACACTTTTAAGTGCCTTGGCCTACAACATATTTTAAAATAGAATGTTCTCTCATTTTTCAAATCTCCATTTGGTGCCTCATTTGAGACCTGTAAAGCACTTGTCCTTAGCCCTGAAGCTGAACATAGTGCTCAAGACAGATAAGCAGAATTATAGCACAGGGTGACAAGTGTGGAGATAGAGGTATATGTACAGAGTACTGTGGGAACATGGAGAGGGGCACTTTACCATATCCATGTATGTGTGGTAAGTACCAGGGACTTGGAAACATATTATTTGATTTTTTATGAATAATGTATCTCTCTTAGGTAACTATTATTAACAAATAACATTTATACAGAAGAGTGTATAAATCACGTGTATAGCATGGTGAATTTCCAAAAGGTAAACACACCTGTGTAAGTAGCACCTAGATCAAGAAATGATATTTCCAACATCCAGAAGCCTCACTCATGTCCTGTTCCATCACTATGACCACCTTGCCTCAGAGTAAACACTATGCTGACTTATGATGTCATCATTATTTTTGCCTCTCTTTGATCTTCGTACAAATGAAATCAAACTATGTGCTTGTCTTCTTTCACTCAATGTTTATTTGTGAGTGTCATCCATGTAGTTACTTTGGTTGTTGTTCATGCTCATTGCTGATAGTATTCTATTGTATGAGCATACCACAGTTTATCCATTCTACTATTGATTGACACTTAGGTTATTTTCAGTTTTTTTGCTGTTGTGAATATTGCTACTGTGAACATTCTTGTACATGTCTTGGTTAATGCACATGTATCCATTCCTGATGGCTGTGTATTGAAGGGTGGACTTGCTGGGTCATATAGTATAGATGATAGGACAGTTTGAGGTTTCTCAACTTTATTAGTTTATCAGTTAGGGTCCAGTCAGGAGACAGAAACCATAGCAGTAATTTGAATAGGGAAAATTTAATATAGAGAATTACTTACCTAAAGGGGTAAAGGAGATCTCTAAAGAATGCAAGACTAGCAGTTGTAGGGAGCAGCTATTCTAGAGCTAAGGGAGAGGAATAAACTTTGAAGACCCTTTCCCCCATCACACCCCGTCACAGCTGAGATTCCTACCTCCTTGTTGGAGAGGGTGTGGCTGCAGGCTACGGGAAGATGAAGACCTTCACTGGGGTGCTGTGGGCCAGAATTGGTGCAGGTGGCCTACTGGGTGCTGGTAAGCCAGAGCTGGCAAAGTGGAAATGGGCTGGTTTCAGTGAAACAGGCTGGAGGATGAGCACTAATAGGTCTTCTGCATGGCTCTGGCAGCACCGTGGGAGCAAGGAGGAAAGTACACAGAACCAGGATAAGAAGCTCCTCCCTCTGCTGTGCCTTGCACTGTTCCTCCATCACTCTCTGTTGACAAGCTGAACACTGCACCCACTGGCAGAAGAAAAATGTTTACAGGGTCTGGCCCCCGCTTCATAAACAGGGTAAAGCAGAATGGCTTTGGGAGATGAGAGGCAATAAATGAATGAATAGCACAACTAGATAATGGCAAACTTATCTTCCAGTTTATTATTTTTCCTATTAAACCCATCCTCATGAGTTCTTTTTTGTTTGTTTGTTTTTCTTAGATGGAGTCTTGCTCTGTTGCCCAGGCTAGAGTGGAGTGGCTCAATCTCGGCTCACTGCAAGCTCCGCCTCCCGGGTTCACGCCATTCTCCTGCCTCAGCCTCCCGAGTAGCTGGGACTACAGGCGCCCGCCACCACACCTGGCTAGTTTTTTTATATTTTTAGTAGAGATGGGGTTTCACCATGTTAGCCAGGATGGTCTCCATCTCCTGACCTCATGATCTGCCCACCTCGGCCTCCCAAAGTGCTGGGATTACAGGCGTGAGCCACTGCACCTGGCCCCTCATGAGTTCTTAATTTTAGAGAATATGTTCTTCAGTTTTACAATTCTATTTGATTATTTTCTGTAAATTCCAATTATCTGGTTAACTTATCTTTTCATCTATATCTAAATGGCTTTCTCCACTTTCTTGCTTGTGTTAATTGTATTTGTTTTCCAGTCCATGTGAGCTAATTTTAATATCTGGAATATCCTTTGATTTTTCTGTGTGTGTTTCGTTTGCTTTTTTCTTGGTTATCCATCATGTGGTTCTGTTTTTGGTGTTTCTGGTAGTTTTGAGTGAATGTCAGACATTCCAGTTAAAAAACTACAGAGGCTCCAGATAACGCAGTCTTCTTCCAGAGAGAGGGTTTACTGTCCCCTCTGATAGGGACATAGGCTGATGTGATTGGATGGTCACTTTAATCCAGTCAGGGTTTTTGCTGAGTCGAAGCTAGTTTATGGCTTTGGTAAGAGTCTGTTTACTTCTGGTTCACTTCTGTTCTGGGATAGTGCTCTTCAGGGTTTTACTTGGGAGATTGGAGTGGCCAGTGTTCCTAAACAATTCTAAGTGCCTTGGCCCACAACATACTTCAGAATAGAATTCTCTGTCGTTTGTCAAATATTTAAACACACAAGCAGTGTGGATCTCAAATTCTAAATGTTGTCTTACAAGACTGCTGATTGCTTTGCTCTGCTTTTCAGAGGCGTTTTCTTAATTTTTAGCTTCTGACCTGGGCTACGCCAGAATTCATCAAAGTCTTGAGAGGAGCTGGCTGCATGTTTGAGGTCTCTCAACACTCTGCCAAAAGCTCCAATGGTTCCTCTAAGCCTCAGCAGCAGTTTTGTGACTGTGCATAGCCTGGATTCTCAGCCTCCCTCCTGTACCCTAAATTTGCAAATGTCCCCAGGGTAGGAGCAGCTGCAGACATCAGCTCCTCTCCTTGAGGTTTTCTCCTCTTGATTCTCAGCCTCCCAGTTCTCATTTCTTCCATAGATAGCAAATGCCTTCAAATAGATTTCTATATTTTATTTAGCTTTCTAGTTGTTCTTATTGAGAGTGCTGATCTGTACAGAGCTACTTCGTCCCACCTGGAAGTCCTCTCCATTATATTTTGAGAATATATAATTTTAAAATTTACTTTCAAAGCAAAAGTACAAAAGACTTCAGCAGATCATAAAATACAATGTACATGTATTACACCTTGGTAAGAATACAGAATTAATAAAATTAATCAATAATTAATAAAAATGTTTGATATTAATAAAATGTTCAATAACAAATTATTAAAATGAAGATAACTGTACTTCTTCCTTTTATATGAAAACCTAGGTGTTCACTTCCAATATATATATTCCTAAGGTAGAAATAAAGCATTGTTAACATGGCATCTCTGGTTCTCTTGAGTTGTAATCAAAGGATGCATCATCAGTAAATGACCCAAGAGAATATGAGAAAATTACTAGAAATTTTGGTGGAGAACTGGTTTGTGTGTTGATGAACTAAAAACTACTGTATTTCTACTATGTCTGTTTCATCAGCCAGGGAAACATTTTATGAAGTAGGAAGAAAGTTGATGTTATTTTTTAAAAAATATACTTCCTAAAGGAAGACAGTAGAAGAACCCTGGTTCAAAATTAAGATTTATGATTTCATCTGTTTTCTAAAGGTGTTGCTATTATAGCTAATTATAGATTAAGAAGAGTATTAATATATACACATATGCATACACATATAATTTGAAAGCATGTGTTATAAACAAGGCTTTAAAAGTGCAGTTGTAGAAAAACAGAGCACCTTGAAAGCACAAACAAGGTATATTAAAAACATTCACTCTCCTAAGACAAATAAAAAAAGGCAAACCAAGTTATTTTTTGAAATCCAATGGCAAATATAACATTTAGCAGATGTTGCCAGTTTTGATTTACTCTATTGAATTTGTAAAACAGCTATTGGGAAAATGAGGTACGGAGTTGAGTATAAACCATTGCAGTTCAAGAATATGCTTATCCAGGGCCAGGCATGGTGGCTCAGGCCTGTAATCTGAGCATGCTGGGAGGCTGAGGTGGGTGGATCATGAGGTCAGGAGTTTGAGACAAGCCTGACCAACATGGTGAAACCCCGTCTCTACTAAAAATACAAAAATTAGCTGGGCATGGTGGCGCGCACCTGTAATGCCAGCTACTCAGGAGGCTGAGGGAGGAGAATCGTTTGAACCTGGGAGGTGGAGGTTGCAGTGATCCAAGATCATGCCACTGCACTCCAGCCTGGGAAACAGAGTGAGACTCAGTCTCAAGAAAAAAAAATGCTTATCCAGAGGAGTTATTTAATCAGTTTTGAAGATTACCCATTGTCTTTGGTTGGTCGTCTCTCGTCATCCATCCGCTCTTTGTCGCCTCCTCTTCTCTCCATCACTCCCTTCAAAGAGCTGGATTTAAACAAAAAATATTAATAATAATTATTATTATTAGCATTCGAAATACAAGTAAATACCAAGAAAAACCAGTCTATAACCCTAGATGAGTTAAAGATGAATATTCACAGTTTAGTAGATTTTTATTTCCGGTGTTTTTCTGCCTATGCCACATGGACATACGTTTGTCTACATTTTTCAGTTTTTTTTTTACTTTATATATTATCATAAGCATTTTTCCTAAGACATTACAGATTTATCTTAAGCACCTTTTAAAATTGGTTTCTGTTCTTTTGATCTGTTCCTGATTGCTAGCACCTCTGCAGGAAGATAAAAGATGTATCTCAAACCAGTCCTTTTTCTTTATTTTTGTTTGTTACTCATAGAGAGTTCCACTTGAATCTAAATGAAATGGTGATTACTTGTGAATTCTTAACCATCTTTCCCCTTACTGTGAATAACTAATAGTTGGTTATGGTTGATAACTTACTAAAAAAAGCTATTAATTCGTTATTTTAAGACTACTGTCTGTGAACAAGGCTTTTACCTTTGTTTCTCTTAAGAAAGTAAGGGAGAAAGGAAGGTTTTAGTAACATCAAAATTGTTTTTAGCTAATATATGTATAGCATTGAGTAGAAGATAGAGAACCAACCTTTCAAGAGGACTTTGGTTTAATTGGAGAATCAGGACTTAGACATTAAAAGGGAAATATTGTAGCAAATTACAGTACAGTATATTATCATAGCACATTATATACACCTTTGTAGCATTGTATTCTGTCTAGTAATTGCTTGTTTACCTTTTTGTCTTCTGTACATTTGTGAGAACACCTTGAAGGCAGAGACTATTATCTTACTTGTCTTTAGTTTTCCTAACATCTATTTGTGGTACCAGGCACACTAAGATTTTTTTTTTGTTTTTATTTTAATGAATGAATATGCTGAGTGCCACATTAATGATACAAGAAGTCTGATAAAGTAGAAAGTAGTGCTTATTGTACCTAAGGTGATCTGAGACTTTATGGAAGAAGAAGGGTTCTAGCTGACTCTTCAAGCAGGAGTAGGATTTAGAAGGCAAGAGATGGGGGGATGGCACTGTAGACAGGGGACAAAAGTACAGAGAAGCATCATATACCAAGGATGGCATATTGGAAGCACTGAGCAAGCCAGTTGGCTTGGAGTAGTTTGCATAGGCAAATAGTAGAAAATACGGTTACAAAAGTAGGTTGAAGTAGAATTGTAAGGGGTTTAGAATACAGTGCTAAGGATTATTCATTGCCAGTCTAAGCTGTGATTTTAAAAAACTTCCACAGCCTTAGGTTTTGTTTTCCTTCTTCCTAGTATGATTTAACCAAGACGTTGAAACTTTTGTGAGATGTTCATGATTTGAGGATAATATTTTTTTCTTTATGGTACTAAGGATTTCAGAAATTTTTAATGCCTTTTTAGCCACTTGCTGTTAAGCACGCTTCCTGAAATAGTTACGAACTTCATGTGTATACATTAGTTTTTCAGAGGAGTCAGACTTTTATTATACATTTAAAAAGAATGTGTAGTTGCTTGCTGATTATATTCCCTCAGGATCTTTAAATTAATTATTTCATATTCTTCACTTGTTTCAAAGGCTGTTCTTACAAATAGCTTGCTTTGTGTGCTTTTGGTATACAGGATCTTCTGAGGGAAGGGCTATTTATCTTTTAATAAAGTTTTAATTTTAGAATTTTTGTTTTAGATTTATAGAATTGCTGCCAAGACAGTACAGAGAGCAGAGAGTTCCTAAGTGCCCCACATTCAGCTTCCCCTATTGTTAATATCTTATATTACTATGGTACATTTGTGACAATTTGTCCACAAACCAGTAATGATATATTATTATTAACTAAAGTCCGTACTTTATTCCGATTTTAAAAATTTTTTCTTAATGTCCTTTTTCTATTCTAGGATACCATCTAGGATTCCACATTGCATTTAGTCTTCATGTCTGTTTGGGTTCCTTTTGTGACAGTTTCTCATATTTTCCTTGTTTTTGATAACTTTGATGGTTTTGCAGAGTAACTGGCCAGGTATTTTATAGAATGTCACTCAGTTGGGATTTGTCTGATTTTTTTTCATGTTTAGGCTATGGTTATGGGCTTTTGGTAGAAAGACTTCAGAGGTACAAATCCATTTTCATCACATATCAAGTCATATTGATAGCCACATACTATTGATATGACTTTGCACTATTGTTGACCTTAATCACTTGGCTTGAGGGAGTGTTTGCTACCCTGTAAAGCTACTCTTTCTTTCCCCCTTTTATCCTTTACTATGGAAGGGTCTCACTGTGTGCAACCCACAGAAGTGGGAGTTATGCCCTCTTTGAGGGCAGTATCTACATAAATTATTTGGAATTCTACTGCCTGGAAGATTTGTCTATTCTCTCCATTTATTAATTTATTCAATCATTTATTTGTATCAGTATGGACTTATAGATATTTATTTTATACTTTGGGTTACAGTCCAATACTATGTTATTTATTTTGTTCTTCAAATTCTTCCAGCTTTGGCCACTGGAAGTTCTTCCACTTGGTTCCTATATTCCTTTGATATGCCCCCATCATTATAGATGTTTTTATTTGTTTGTGTTTTTTTGTGGCATTTTCTTACTTTCTGGCACTATGAGATGATCTTGGCTCATCTTGTCAGTTTCCTGCTCCAGTCTTAGTATCAGCCATTTCTCCAAGGAACCCTTGTCCTTTTTATTGGAGAAAGGTCTTAGAAACCAAGATCTTAGTGCCAGATGTGCTTGTTGCTACTGGGATGTCATTGCTTTTATTTAGGTCCTTTCAGCTCACAGAGCAAGGAAATGTGCATATCTATAAATATTTGTCTATGTAGCCATCTGTACCTATATTAAGGGAAACATGATTTTACTGATGTCTTCAACTCTTATCTACTTCCACATGGATCATTCTAGTCACCAGGAAGGATTATTTTAAGATCCCATTTGTGTATGTACTGACGTCTGCCTTCCTGTGATATTATTCCTTTTTGTTAGTTAATTCCTACTACAAACATGTATTGAGCCTGTATTATATTTAAGGCTTGCACTAGGTGCAAGGGATACAAAAATGAATGATTCATTGATGCATTCACAGTTTCTTCAATACCTGTTTATTGAATACCTCATATTTAGGCACTGTGCTCCATGCTCACACTTTAGTAGTGGAGAAAATATGGCTACAGACAGTTATGCTATAAGGCAGGATGGAACTGTGATACAAGGTAGAAAAGAAAGTGTGTTCTTGTGTTGCTATTAAATAGTATGTAAGACTGAGTAATTTATAAAGAAAAGTAGTCTATTTGGGCTCACAGTTCTGCAGGCTGTACAGGAAACATAGTGCTGGCATCTGCTTCTGGAAAGAGCCTCAGGGATCTTACAATCATGGCAGAAGGCAAAGGGGAAGTAGGCGTATCACATGGTGAGAGCAGGAGCAAGAGAGAGAGGAGGGGGGTGCTACACTTCTTCAAACAATCAGATCTCATGTGAATTCAGAGTGAGAACTCACTCATTACCATGAGGATAGACCCGCCCCTATGCACCAAACACCTCCCACCAGGCCCCACCTCCAACATTGGGAGTTAGATTTCAACATGAGATTTGGAGGGGACAAATGTCCAAACTGTATCAGAAAGGTAATAACAGAGTTCAAATGAAGAAGAAATTACTTCAGGAAAGGCAATCACATGATGAATTGTAGCAGTTAGAACTTGATGAGATGCAAGTGACAGAAAATACAATCAAACAGGTAAAAAAAAAAAAAAAAGGAATTTATTGATTCATATAACAGTAAAGACCAGGGGTAGAACTAGCTTGGGGTGCGAATAGTTTTAGGGCTTAAACAATGTTATCAGGGCTTTGCTCTGCCTTCTGCTCACGCTGATATTACTCTTAGGCTCTTCCTAGTATCTCCTAGTACTTCTAGGTGAACATCACAACACCAAGTTCCGAAGAAAAGAAAGTCTGGTATCACAAAGTCTTGGAATTGAGACTTGTCTTGACTTTCCTCATATAGGTCATTGTATCTGTGAACATTATTGCTCTGGGGAATAGAATGTGCTGATGAGCTTAGCTTTGTACATGTGCTCCATCTGTTTCACAGATGTTGATTTTGTGATTGTTATTAATTAAGGTATTCATTTTTGTTTTGTGAACTTGTCCATATATTTGTTATATTTTGCAATAAAGTTTTTTTTAAAAAAGCTAAATATATTCAGTATATAAATATTAATCAATGTAATTACTCAGATTCAGGTAGTCCACTTAATCCTAAGATGGCTATCTACAAAGAAATTTACTCCTAGACACATCATGGCAAATTACAGAAAACCAAAGACAAGGAGAAAAATCTAAAAAAAGAAACCAGAGAAAACAAAAGAGCAACCATTAGATTGTTAGCTGACTTCTTAATAGCATTAATGAAAGAGAGAATACAGTTTAGTGATATATTTAATGTGATAAACTAAACAACTGTTTAAAATCCTATACCTAGCAAAAAGATGATTGACTAATTTAAGTGAAATAAATCCATTTTCAAGTAAACAAAAGCAGAGACTTCATCATTAGCAAACCTTTGCTAATTCTTCAGGGAGATGAAAGACAAAAATCTCAGGTGGAAGATAGAGATGCGGAAAGGAGTAAACGGCCACAAAATATAATAAAGGGAGCCAGTAGCTAAAGAGGGTATAAAATTATAAATCATCTAGAGGGTGTTTTAGCTAGAATTGTTTTATACATTTTGGTGATTATTAGGATTTATGTTCCCAATATACTTCATGTAGGCAAATACTAGAATTATGTGACTTCTTGGTGTTTACTGATTTGGGAGTGGGGAAGTGAGTGACTGTAGGGTGAAAAAAGAAAATGACATTAAAGCTTTGTTTTGCAAGTAGATAATTTAGTGTTGACCATGTCTGCCATCCTGCTTTCTACATTTCTCTTCTTGTATTGCTGTGTGGTGCTGTGATTATTTCATGGGGAAATCAGGAATGTATTGATTGCTGGATCCTAGCTCCCAGAGATTTCAATTTATTTATTTAGTCTGGGGTAGAACCTGGGCATCAGTGGTTTTAGAAAGTCAATTCTAAGGCTGGGCAACATGGCAAAACCTTGTCACTACAAAAAACAAAAATTAGCCAGGCATGGTGGTGCGCACCTGTAATTGCACTACTTGGGAGGCTAAAGTGGGAGAATCGTTTGAGCCTGGGAGGTTGAGGCTGCAGTGAGCTGAGATTGTACCACAGCACTCCAGCTTGAGCGACAGAGTGAGACCCTGTCTCAAAAACAACAAACAAACAAAGCCAATTCTAGTGTTATAGCCAGAGTCGAGAACTACAGGTATTGAAAATGAACATGGGCGAGACAGATCTGAACTCTAGATTTAGTTTTATTGATTACTAGGTGGATTATGCAGGATCTATGTATTTATTTATTGATAAAACTGATAAGTACCTGTCTCACAAGGCCATTTTAGGGAATAAAGACAGTAATATTTGAATGTAAAAATGGAAAGAAAACCAGAGGTGTGGAGGCCAAAATGACCAAGGACAACATATAATCATTACCAGAGAGAGCTTAGCACATGGATGTATTTTCAAAGAAGCCCTAAGTTTACCTTTGTAATTGAAGCAGTTTGTTTTGATTTTTGTACTTATCTTTCAACTCATATAGCAATGAGGTTTTGTGCTTAATGAAGTCTTTAGGATTGGGATTGCTCTGCTGTACTTGGGTTATCTACAAGAATGGGCACATTACAGAGGAAGAGTCTCATAAATTTTGAACCTGGTTCTAATATATGTTTTCTCCAACATTTTTAAAAAGCAAAAAAAAAAAAAACACTTAGCCATTAAAAAACATTTTTCAGAGAAATTATCTACATCCTGCTGAGAATTTTATGCCAAACTGCAGCCCCCACACAAGCTTTGGAGAGCCAAGATATTTAAACCTGTAAAGGAAAACGCCAGCTCAGCCCTTACACTGGTTTGATGTAATCCTTTAACCACAGAATGGTTTCTAGCCTTGAATTGACAATGACTCAGTAGACCTTGTATACGTTTTAAGAATGTTTTTAAGTAGGTAGGATTACAAAAATAGAAGTACAACATTATTATGAACAAAACATTCAACACATTGAATACAGTTTCTTGAATCTGTTTCAAGAACATTTATGAAGAAACCAGATTGAAAAATAAAGTCTGGATTATTATAGAATTTTCAAAAGAAGGACAGCTAATTACTTATAGTATCTAAAATAGTCTACCAGAGGTTATCAGTCACTTTTTAAAATCAAAGGAGGTGGTTCTTTAGGAGGTTAAAAAATTAATTTGCACAAACACTAATTGACATAACAATTACATATAATTTGTGTGTTTAAAGATACTTTTTTTTTTTTTTTGGTTAAGATATGGGGTCTCTGTTGCCTAGGCTGGAAGTGTGGCGGCACAATCACAGCTCACTGCTGCCTCGACTTCCTGGGCTTAGGTGATCCCACCTCAGCCTCCTGAGTAGCTGGGACCACACTTCCATGCCTGGCTTAAAAATACATTTTAAAAAGACTTATTTATTTTAGTAATTTGAAGATGTTTCCAAGGTTAACATGAACTTTAGCCTAGTTAGCGCCTCTGGGAATTATTTTTAAAAAGCAAAATGTGTCTCAATGAGATTTGACTTTAATTTAAAACTAATTTAATGTACTAGTTAACCATTTATTTTACTTTCAACTACTATCTAGGTTCTACTCCAAATTCAGTAAATCTATACAGATTAAATTAAAAAGCATTTTCAAGTTGGGAAAAGAGATAACTATTTCAAACTTTTGAGTTTATATATTTTTATTGATATATAAATAGAACTGAATAGAAATACTTTTGGAATGAGCTATAGATTTATTTTATGTATGTATCTTGTCTAGTTCATAGTGAATACATCATAGACAACCTTAGCTGTGTTTTACTGAATTAGAAAATCTGTCATAGTGATTGTCAACCTTTTAATACTAAACACAAATAATTGAAATACTGTCTGTTAATCTAAGGATTTTGACTTCCTGAAGAGAGCTTTAAGTCCATTTCTTATGTTTTGTTAGTATTTTTTGGACTTTTTAATTTGTAATTATTAAATTTGAGATAAAAATTTTTGTGCTGTTTTGCAGCATGCCCTGTGAAAATTTTCTTTTTCAAGGAAACAATGCATTTTAAAATGTTTGTAACATTTAGAATAAAGGACTAAGGGTGTTTTGAAAATTGATAAATTTTTAAGCCAGATTAAACAATTAAGATTAATTGCATACCTTCTTTAACTTTTAGCTTCATGTCATGGCTATAAATTTGTAAGTAGCCATTTTAGAAATCCAATTATAATTCTTAGGTATAATTTTCAGAAATCAAAACAACAAAATTAATTACAACTGTAGAATTTCCTTATTTGAAAAACTTTCTATTTTGGGGTATTGTATAATGAATCCCCATGGATCTCGTTTCAATAATTGCCACGTCATAATCTTGTTTCATCTATACTCCTATTCACTTACTGCCTAGTAGCATTGTAGTTTGAAGCAAACCCCACATATTATGACACTTCATCTGTAAATATTTCAGTATAATATGCAAAAATATAAATCTTTTAAAAAGCATAACCAAAATACCATTATCTTATCTAAACAAATTGACAGTAATTCCCTAGCATCATCAAATAACCAGTCATTGTTCAAATTCCTAATTGTTTGAATTAAGATCTATGCATTGTGATTGTTATGTCAAGTCTTTTTAAGTTACTGGTTTTCTCCATCTTTTTTTTCCCCTTTTTTGCAATTTATAGCTGCAGAAACAGGGCCATTTGTCCTAGAAAATTACCACAGACTAGATTTTGCTGATTGTATCTCTGTGGTATAGTTTAACATGTTCCTTTCTTCCTCTGCAGTTCATATAAATTGGTAGTTGGATATATGTCCCAAATTTCTTGTACCTTAAATTACTTGGTACATAGTCACAAACCAAAAGTAACCCTGGTTTCCCCTACCATCCTGGTTTCTAAATTTTGTGAAATAGCTGAAATAAGGACTATGTGCTTTATTTTATACACAACATATAGAGGCATCTTTAGATTTTATTTAGATAATTGTATATAATGCTTGACTGAAGATTAGAATTTGCAGTGACATTAGTTTTAGCAAAATGAGACAAATAAGTGTATAGCAAGTAGAAAATAACTATTAAAAGCAACAAGGATTCTAAAGGTACAGTATCCTGGTGTCATTTATTTTAAGGACAGGTAGCCTATTCACCTAAAACGTCCCTAACTATATCACTCTTTTTAAAAAGTGGCTATCTGTTCTTATAAGAATGACCCTTGTTCATCAAGTAAGGTGAATGATACTAAGTATGCTTTATTTTAAACAATAACAGGAGCAACTAGAGAGTTAGCAGTTTAGTTTAGCACTTGAAGGATTAAGGAATTATATATTGTAGTTGAAAAATATGGTGATCTGTTTAATCTGTAACCTCTGTATACGATATATTTAATGTGTGTATATTAATGTTAGGTGTCATATATAAAAATTACAGAAATTCTTCTGTATTGAGAATTGTGGGGAAATAAGGTATATGGATTAATCCAATATTCAGACTCATAAAAATATATAAGCTATATATGGGCCACCAGTTCTTTTAAAATAATTGATTTTTTAAATAAAATACCCCTTCCACTAAAAGTAGAACATAATTTGATCTTTTTTTTTGATGGTTTGGAAGCATTTAAGAGACTTTATAGCATCAGTATTATTATTAACCTTAATTATCATTATATTGTAGCTGTATAGCAGAGTTGATTAATGCAGAGTTCCAAAGTAATGTTTGTTACCAGAGAATTTTCACTGGATTAAGAAAGCCTGAATGGTAGTCACAGAGAATCACATAAAGAGACAGGAACTACTATGGATGCATATATATGTGTGGCTGCATACATAGACTTATATTTACTCATGTGCACAGGTGTACATATTATCGTTAAATTTATAATGTATATTGTTAAACATATATACATATATATCAACCTGTGACATGTGCAGCCATTACCAGTACTAAGGAAGCTGCAAATGGAAGAAATTTGATCAAAATTTACCAAGAGGAAATTGGCTCCAAGACATAATGCTTTTGGCTGGAGAAGATAGTGATCCTGGCACAGTATACTCTCTATTTCCTTGTTAGAGCTCCAAGATTAAAAGAATTAGCTACATAGAGGCAGATGCTTGGTAGCTTTCTGGAAGCACAATTATAAGGTTTATGAAAAACAGGAAGATCAACATCACATACAGGTTTTATGAACTGGGAACTGATTTAATGTGCTATTTTGTATCCCTTAGACCTTGTCTATTGAGCCATAATAATTTCATTTCATTTTTATAACTATTTTTACTTTCTTATTTTAAGTGTGATAGCCTTTGGAAAGAAATTATGTCTTAGAATGCTTTTAAGATACTGTTTTTCAGATTGTTCAAACTTTTTGTGATTGATGACTATAATTAGTCATATTGCAATATTGTATTTTCAGAATTGCTCTCCAATTTTCTTTTCTCTACTTCTGCTAATAACCACAGATTAACTTGGCTCCCAGTAGCCAGTATCTTTATTGACCCTGGAAAATGTTTTGGATCCTTTAATATACCTAATTTTGTTTATAATGAATTGAATAGTAGTGATCATTCACTTGAAAAATAATTTGAGTGCCCATTTTGAATAACCCATAATGTCTAATGCAGTATTTGCATAGAGATGAATAAAATACTGTTCCTGTCCTCCCATAGTTTATAATCTCATAGAAAGACAGTGATATGAAGTAACTGTATTACCCAGACAATCAGTGATTTCTTATGAACATTAGTGGGTGCAATAAATAGGAGAGGTTTCTTTTCATCTTTAATTTTCAATGACTGAGAAACTTCAGCTATTCTTTTGCTTACATGACACCAATAAACACCTGATGCATCTACCATAAATGAAGAGACCATGGGAAGAAATAAACAGTCTTTTTAGGAGATGCCCTAAAATCTCAGTAATCTTACTTGTAGCAGGGGCTACGAACTCAAATGTCTGAAGGAGCCAGTCAAGTGTACCCAGGTAACACAAATGAATGAAAAAGTATGTATGAAACAGTTGGAATTGGTGGGGATTGTGACCTGCTGAAGTGTGTATGCTTTGTTTAAAGATTTTCAAATAAAAATTTGTGTGGGTCAAAGAAAGCATGTCTGCAGGCTGAGGCGGTCAATTTGCAAATGCTCCGTAATTCCTTAATCTTAATGAAACCATCACAAAAACATTTGAGAGAAAAGATGATGATTTAAAAATTAAACACAAATAAATATGTCCAATTTGAGAATGATCACACCATTGAGTAAGCTATTTGGCACTTTCCCCCCAGGGCACCAGTGACATTAAATTGGGGTGATGGGATCTCACAGACAGCCTGGATGATATTACAGTTCTAGGCAGATGAAAGGATCAAGTTTAGTAAAATTCATTACTATAGGAGAAGCAGAAAGGAGCAAGAGTGATGTTGGCTCTCCATTGTTGAAGATGTTCTTCCCCCCTGGATATGGGCAGCTCTGGATTCCAGGTGATATTCATTGTTAGAAGTAGACCAGAGGTCTGGAGACACAACCTGTAACTTCCTGGGATACGTGTGGGGCAACTAGTGGAAAGCTCTAGTGGGTGGAGCTTTTAGCCATCGTTTAGTCAATGGATTGTATGTGAAGGTCTAGCGAGTTTATATGAAATTATTTGGGCCTTCAATCACAATGAGAAAATTCATCGGAAAAGTAAGTGTTCTGGGTTTTGCCTGCTATGTGGGTGCCTGAACCTGACTCCAAAATCATGAATAGATTGTATAGGGCCAAGGAGCAGGTCTCACCCCAGGCATACTTAATCAGTGTATCAGAGGGTTGGATCTGATACTGTGTCTTTTTAAGATGCTTCCACAGTTATTCTGATGATAGCCAGTGTGGAAGCTAGGGTAGTAGGTAGAAAAGGTTCATATACTTGTAGGGAAATATCAGCCTTCCCTGGTTAATGAAGATTGCATATTGGCAGCCTTCTATTAAGGGATTTTTAAAATATTAATTATTAATAAATGCTCTTTATTAATAAAAAGAAACCTAGTCTGTTTGACGATGAGTTGATGGCAGTCGAAATTGGTAGCTTGGGATGTTAATGCTTTGTTAAGGTTCGTGAAGCACTTCATTGGAGAGAGTATGTCTTCATGATTATTTATCCTGAGACCCAGGGAAGGCTGTTTGGATGGTACCATTTGAAACAGATGCTTTTATTTAAGTTTACTTTGAGAGGCACCACAGTTTTGAAAGAACTGGTGAGGAATGGGTTTAGGGGCTAGAGACGGATGGCAGTAGTTTAAGGAAGTGACAGCTGATGAAACAATAATCATTGTGTATTGCTAAGTTGATAAATGGTTTGAAGGCAGTCACCATGGCTGCCTTCTGGGGACCCATTTTAAGCCTCCTGGAGAGAGAATGTGTGCAAAAGATGTAAAGGTTTACTGGCCAGAGGCACACATTTCCAGTGTGGCATGGAGCCAGCATTCATATGATACCACAGGACAGCTTGTACATACTGAATATGTTCCAGTCAAGTGGAGGAAAGGTAAAAATATCTCCTGTTTAAGGGACTGTGAAGCCAGTGAAGGCCTCCTGTCTAAGCTCAGTGCTAAAGAAGGACTGGGGTACTGCTCATTGTGTGCATGTCAGTAATCAAAGACACATGTCAGTAATCAAAGGGTCCTTATTTAGTCTGGAACAGTTGTTCATTTTTCTCCTTTATGTCCTTCAATGGGACTGTTAGCTTTTTTATAAGTTTCACTTGATTACCCACTGAATCAAATACCTTATTGGTGTTTGAAAAGATCTAGGATGGGGAACATCTCAGATACCTCTTTCAGATCCATTTTAACTTAAATTTACTGAATGAGTTGTAGTATACAAAAATATAGATTCTGTTTTTCCTCTTTTCCTTATTATTTATTTTTTCCTTAAGAAAAATCATTATAATCATCATTGGGTTAGTAAAAATAGATTAATCCTCTATGTAGATTTTTCTGCAGATAAATGTAGGAAGCTACTCAATTTTTGTCTCTGGCAGAAAACCCAAACCAAATCTATACTTTTGGTTGAAGTGCTCTTGAATAGTTATATGGCCTAGTAAGAGCTTATGTGCCTCTTCCTCTGATCTTTCCCCTAAAGAGGTAAAAGGGTGATAATGGTGTTGTGGTGTGTCAGTGCTCTTTTATTTTCTTATTATTCTTTATTTCCATTTTTTTTAAGTGACAGGAACCTGATTCAAACTGGCTTTAACTATAAAGAGAATTAATTGGCTTAGAGAACTTAACAGTCCAGAATTGAGCATCAGACAAAGCTTGGTCCAGTGGCTGAAATAATGTTATTTAAGGACCTGGTTTCTTCCCATTTCTTTTCTTCTCTGCTCTTCCTCCCATTGTGTTAACTTTTAGTCCCCATATCCACACAGGTTCACAAGTCTTTTCCCTTGTGAATAAAAAATTGTTACTCCAATTCAGACTTTATATTCTCCTTTCATAGGAAGAAAGAAAGCCTTTATTTCTCAGCAGTCCCAGCTGATGTCTTTGTTTATCTCATTGGGTTTGACTGGATATGTGTCCAGTGGCTGAATCAAACATTGAGCTAAGTGCATAGGCAATGTTGATGGGGTTAGATAGTGAGGACCTATAGAGCTTATAGAGAACTGGAGGTTCCCACTCAAAACTTATGCCTGAGAATGGGGAAGGGAAGTCTCCCCCACAAAATTTGGTTTGGTGTTATCAGCAAGAGGGGAATGGATGTTGGACGTGAAACAATGGATGTTTACTAAATGTATGTTTAGACCAAGGATATTATATGGATCTGGGGATAAGAGGTAGAGTTTTTAGGGAGAAGAGTAAAGACATTGAAAGCTCTTTAGTATCCCGTGTATTGTGCTTTGTGGATATCCTTTCCTTCAGTTGAGTGTCTATTTTGCTTTGCTTTTTCTTTCTTGCTCTTATAGCTGCATGTGGCTGTTATAACCCGAAGAGCCTGGGGTAGTCTCGTTTTCATTCAGAGTTCTACCTGCCCATTTGCACATAAGTTGTGTTACTAGGACATTGGTGGTTTTAAGACACTGGCCAGAAAAGCCTATAGCTGGGATTTCGACTAAGAGGAAGAGGGTCTGGCAAATATTGCAGGTCTAAAGTCCAGGGAGCTCAGCTAAGATGTGGAGAAACAGTTACATAATATAAATCATTGTAGCCCAGGGGCCTATTCTCACTAGGGAAGTCATCTAGGGCAGAGATCAGAAACTAGGTGTCAGAGCCTGCAGATGTTTCTCCAGTTGTAAATAACAAATTGGTTGAAACTGTTTGCTCTTCTTGTTCCATACTGCCTATTCCTGTGGGTTTGTTTGTGATTATCATAGTCAGAAGGAAATCAGAATCTACTGTGGGGTCTGGTGCCGACTGAGACAGGAAAATGTTACTATCTTGATCTGGGAGAATGGATAGGAGTTCCCTATGGCTATAAAATATTCAGTGCCAGCAAAGGGTCACTAAGCTTAAATGATCTTTCATTGTGATTTAAATAATTTGCTCCAAGTTTAAAATCTTTGGACGGAATTGGGATTCTTAACTCTCTAAGTTTGAAAGATTCCTGAAGACATTTTCTAATGAAAAGTGTAACACTAACAAAGTGTTTGCTTTAACTAAATGATTGCAGTTAATTTCTTGTAAAGAAACACAGAAGCACACATTAACTTAAAATAAGCTCACACTGTTGTTTCTTGTAGTACAGCCAGGAAAAACAGTAACAAGCTGTCTCCTTCAAAATCACATCCCTGGATGATATTCGAGCAACCTGGAAAATTTAAATACTTCCCCAGGAAAAACAATTTGAATTAAGTTAGAAATCATATTTGCTAATTCCCTTTCTGCCATTGCCTTTCATTCTCTGGGTCTGAGTAGCATTAATTGAGGTGTGTGGCATCAATAGCTAAGGTAAATGGTGACATTCATTTTAGAACCACAGCCAAGCTGGGGCCACAAAAATAGTTTTAATGTTTAGGATTCATAAGTCAAATTTTAGCCTACATTGACATTTTGTCCTAATAATATTAATACATATATTTTTGAGAAACCACTGGTTTAAAACTTGAGCATTTTGGCCCCAAATAGATTTGATTTTGTATTTAAACGATATTACCTTAAAATTGTGAGGATAAAGACAACACCTATGGAAGAAATAGAGTATATTTAGTTGTTAGTCACTCTAGTACTCTTCACGGTGCTTATGTTCAATAATTTCAGTGTTCTTGGCCTTAGTTCTCTAATGCGTGTTTTGGAAAATACATTATTTTTATTCTCTGCGTGGTTACAGTTTTAAGAGAAAAATGGCTAATTAAGATTCTTTTCCTTTGGAGGGTATTCTTTTCATTCCTGTCCCACTTGAGGGACTTTCCAAGATAGAAAGGAATTTGCCTACTTTCTTTCTCTTAATAAATGAGGAAGATTAGATCAAGAGATGTGGTTTAAAATTTCTTCGCTCTCCACTTCTCTCCCACCTTTGTTTCCTCCCATTTATCCATCCCCGATTCTTAAGAAAGAAACACAAGTTGGAATTAAGCTGGGTGATCCTAGAGACTCATTTGAAGTGGAAATTCAAGATGGAGTGGGGCTGCATACTGGTTACCTTCTTTTAAGAGGAACTGAAAGGTAATCTATATAGCAATTTCTGATGGGCAAGAAGGGACATCACAGGCTTTTGAATTTTATAAATGGAGCCATAATTATAATTAGCTATCATTTTGGGATACTTTTGCATGTTTTAGGTTTAAAGCTTACTTGCCTATGGAGGAAACTAGACATGTGAAGTATGCCACCTCCAAAGATTCTGACACCCTGGCACAAAATTGAGATGATAAATTCTGATAAGATTCCACCAGTAGGTCATCTCTTGGTAGATATTTGAACATGCCCTAGAATTCCTCTGTTAGTTGGAAGTTTGGCTTACCTAGCAACTGGGTGAGGCTGCCTACTGAATGGCATTTTGAAAAGTTCAGACTTAAAATTTCCTATTTTGTTTTTTCTCCATTATGAGTCTTACCAGTCCTATCACAAACTTTTATGGGAAAGTGGTTTTTCAGCTACAAAGGTATTTGTGCATTTTGCCCAAGACATATGTCCTCCTCAAGAATATATAACTGTCATATTCTGTATTGACATGAGAATCAGGATCATATTACCACAAGTAGCTAGAAGATTTCATTGGTTGTAAGCCAGGGAATGGTCTGATTGATTTTGTCCAGCAAGTAAAAAAAAAAAAAAAAAAAAAAAGCTCTTACACACACACACACACACACACACACACACACACACGTGTGTGTGTGTACACGTGGCTCACAGTGAAGTTGGTTGTTGGTTGAGAGGCAGGTCAGAACCTTGGAGAGCTCAAGATAAAGGAGGGGCAGAACCACAATCAGAAGCTTCCATGGCTTCCATGGCTGCTCCCAAAAACTCCCCAAAACAGTTGAGTTTTTCTGGAGCAACTGCCAGCTCCACTCTGCTTATCGTTAAGATATGTAGGATTTAAGAAGATAAATCCCTTTTACTCCAAGCATGAGCTGCATATTTGTTGACTAATTTGATAATTTGTGGCTAAAGTCTTAAAAACAAAAACTGAAAGGAAAAAAACAAAGGGACATACTTTTCTTCACGTTTTTGTGAAGATCCTATGCCATTCCTCCATGGCCATGTTATGATTACTGATTCCACTTAGCAGGGCTTCTGGTATTGAGATGAGGGTCACATACAGGATGGGGGGAGGTAACATTAAGATTTCACTGAACTATTCACTGTGTATTAGACTAGATCAATTTTTCCAAAAAAAGATTCTTTTCAAATAACAACATATTTGATAAAACTCCAACCAAGCCAAACTAAAACAAACAAAAACCAGAACAACAGAGGTGTTCTGGTTAAAACAGGCTTTAGAAAGCCTGAAGTGCCTTCTGTTCAGACTAATTCTGGCTCCACCAGAAGCCCCCAAACACAAGTCGCAAATCACCATGTTTTACCGGCATACATTCAGTTTACTTGACAGACACAGTTCCTAAGTAAATGTGAGGACTTAACCTAACTGTGTTTCTAGGAATACTTTTACTAGCCCAAATTAATCCCAGAAGTGGCCATTTATTGGTGTCTACTTAGCTATTCATTTGGATGGCAGATATTTGCATTTCTTTCTTTCTTTTTCTTTTTTTTTTTTTGCCACTCAACTTGTTTATGGTTAAGTCTCAGCTTCAATATGAAGCTGGTTTTTTTTTTTTTTAAATCAAAACCCTGCATTTTACATGCTAAATATCTTGGCAAGTAGGTTGTTAAACATAGTAATGAACTTAAAACAGCGAGAGTGAGGAGTTAACAAAAACTAAACATTGCAGCCTAAACAAAATTCATACAAAAAATAAACTATCACTGGTTACATAAAATTTTCCTGACTGGTTAAAACTTAGTATAAAATGTGCATTTTAGAATCCTTAGCTATCAAGTTCAGAAAGTACCAGTGTCTATTTAAAATAATTCCTTTCCCAAGCCAAAGCGTAATCAAAATTAATTCAAATGACATAACACATTCTAATGCTAAAAAATATTCATTATTATTGAAGTGGAAGTAAATCCCAGAGCTTTTGGGTCTTTCTCATGCTGCAAATGGCTGTTTCTCTGGTTCACTCAAAGCAGCATATGACAGCATCCAAGGATGACACTAAGCTCAGTAAAGGGCAAGACTGCTGGTAGCCAGCTCTGACCTTCCTGTGAAGCATGGCTGCTGTGTCCACAAAACAGATGTGTGAGGATCAAAGGCACACTATTCTGCTAGCTAAAGAGATAGCAAACCACCCCCTAACCCTAAAAGCTCCTTCCCCAGGTAAATAAAGGTATACAAGGGGAAAAATTAAAATACATTTATCTACAGAGTAAGGGTTTTGAAATATTAATTTAATCCCTCCTTCAAAAATTTTAACTAGAGTCATCTAGTCATTTCTGATCACATCTTAAAGATGTATCCAGATTCAATTTCTGTTGGTTTATCTTTAGACACTTCTAGTCAAAAGTATTAATTTTATTCCCAAATATCTTAACCACTAATACAACTGCAGTGTATTATCTACCAGAGTTATCAAGCACTGGAAGAGAAAAAAATAGATGTTCAAGCAGCAGGCAGCATTTATGGCCCTTTCACACAGTGGCATCTGAGTGGCTACTGAATAGTCCAGGAATAATTCTAAAAACAAGAAAATTCATGCATTTTAGTAAATATGTTATAGTTTTCACAGTTGAAATTTCCTCAGACATTGTGCTTTCTTTATAAGGGAATCCTGATTTTTCTGAATGTTATGGTGAGTCAGGACTTGAACTAGCAGGCTTCTTTTTCTTCTTCCACTGTTTTTCTCATGCTTCTTTTTCTGTTTTGTTTTTTTCTGTTGCTTTTTCTCGTTCTTCACTGCTTTTCCTCTTTTTTGCTCGTACCTCCTCCATATACTCTGATTCTGACAAGGACTCAGATGATAAAGGTTTATCTTCAGAATATATCTTTCTCTTTTTTCTGAGTCCTTTAATGTCCTTTTCTTTCTCAGTTGCATCTTTTGACTTCTTTTTCTTTTTTAAATTATCCTTACTGTCTGATTCAGTTTCTGACATGGACCTTTCAGAAGATTTATGTGAACGGTTCTTTTTCTTTCTCAGTTTTCCGTGTTTCTTACCCTTATCTTCAGAATCAGAAGAACTGCTGGAAGAATCAGAGCTTGATGAAGAAGAAGATGAATACTTACCAGATTTCTTCTTTTTTCTTTCTCTGTCTTTTTTTGGATGAGCTCTCACTTGCACTTAACAATTTCCCCCTGTGTTTTTCTAGTTCTTTCTTCCAGTTCTCATTCATTTTTTCTTCACATTCAACCAAACTCTTGGAGCCTTTCTTTTTCTTTTCTAGTTGCTCTTTTACTTCTTCCCAGGTAGGCCTTGATCGATTCAGATAATCCTGTATTTTTGGCCCTGAAGACTGGATTGGACCCCTTGATCTCGCCATTGCTGTTGGGTTCATATAGGCTACCCATTTGTCCCACTTGCCCATGGTGCTGGGCTGAGCACACAGTCGCACGCCGAGGGAAACTGGGCCGGAGAGATGGCCGAAGCGGGCCCGCCGCAGGTGCATTTCTTTCTAATTAACTTCTGTACATCCCAGAATCCACTGTGTTTTAGACTGCAATGAACAGCTTCAAACATCATAGCAACAATCTCATCAGACTCTATAGGCTCTGCTTACAAGGGGGAAGAGAATTATTAGAATATTTGAAAACAAAGCCATGGAGGATCACAGAACTACCCTGTTTAATTTTTTTGCCTTACCAATATTTATTTCTATCAGTGTGCTACAATTTGTAGTGGTGAAGGGTACTACTGTGATATTCTTTCTTGTCTCCACTTCATTTTGTTCGTAATAGTTGAAATTTATCAAGAACAAAATCCCAAAATATAATCTGCAAGTTAAAACCATAAGGGATGTGATTGGCAGTGCTGTGTTACCTTTTTTTGTTAGCCACATGACTATAAATATTTGAAGGGTATTTACATGGAAGAAGGAGTAGACTTGCTCTGAATAGTCCCAAAGTTAGTTTTTCTTAATCCAGCTTCTCTTTCTCCCATCCTCAAATTCATGTTATGTCCACTTGACTTTACAAAATTTGGAAATTGTTATATTTGAAGAAATTAGGAAAATATGTTTAAAATGATTTCATTTCAATTGTTTTAGATGATATATTAGAGGAATTATACATACTTAACAAAATGTACGGTGTAAACACTTATTGCTGATAATACTTGGTCCTCTTACAAATAGGTCAATAGCAAATTTATTTTTGTTGTTATCCTTGGTATTCTGCAGATGGAGTGACATTTTAAAAAATCATGCTTGTTCAGTTCCAGTTTTGTTAGAAATGTAAAATGTTGTTGGTGATTTCCTAAGACTTCCCATTTATTTTATTTTTTTCTGCATATTCTGTATAATTTATTCATGATTATAGACATTAGAAGTTTAAAATTAGAAATTACCTAATGCACTATTACTAAGTTGTAGAAAGATTTTTACTTTTTTCCTTTTCAACAGCTTTATTGAGATCTAATTGATATGTAACTCATCCATTTGAAGTATAAAATTCAGTTGTTTCAGTATATCCACAGAGTCGTGCAGTCATCAATTACCATAGTGAATTTAGATCATTCTAATCATTCCCAAAAAGAAACTGTGTATGCATTAGCAGTCCTCATTTTCCCCCAAGTCTCCAGCCCTAGGCAACCACTAATTTACAGTCTGTCCCTATAGATTTGGCTTTTGTAGACATTTTGTATAAATGGATTCATACAATGTGTGGCCTTTAGGTCTGGCTTCTTGCACAGCTTAATGTTTCAAGGTTGATCCCTGTCATAGCATGAATCAGTATTTTTATTGTGGAATGATATTCCATTGTATGTGTGTACACATTGTATTTATTCATCATTGGTTGATGGACATTTGGGTTGTTTGTACTTTTTAGCTATTAGGAATATGCTACTATGAACATTTGTGTACAGGTTTTTAAAAATTTTTTAATTTTTGTATTTCAGTAGGTTTTGGGAAACAGGTGGTGTTTGGTTATATGAATAAATTCTTTAGTGGCAATTTCTGAGATTGGTACATCCATCACACACGCAGTGTACACTGTGCCCAACGTGTAGTCTTTTATTTCTTGCTATCCTCACCCTTTCCTGAGTCCCCAAAGTCCAATGCGTCATTCTTATACCTTTGTGTCCTCATTCTTATACATTTGTGTCCTCGTAGCTTAGCTCCCACGTGTGAGTGAGAACATACGATGTTTGTTTTTTTATTCCTGAGTTACTTCACTTAGAATAATAGTCTCCAATTCCATCCAGGTTGTTGCGAATGCCATTATTTCATTACTTTTTATGGCTGAGTAGTATTCCATGATATATATCACATTTTCTTTATCCACTCGTTGATTGATGAATATTTGGGCTGGTTCCCCATTTTTGCAATTGCAAATTGTGCTGCTGTAAGCATGCATGTGTAAGTATCTTTTTCATATAATGACTTCTTTTCCTCTGGGTGGATACCTAGTAGTGGGATTGCTGGATCAAAAGGTAGATCTACTTTCAGTTCTTTAAGGAATCTCCACACTGTTTTGCATAGTGGTTGTACTAGTTTACATTCCCTTTTTTTACTTTTATAATGTAAAAGTGTTCCCTTTTCACCACATCCACGCCATCTGTTATTTTTTGATTTTGGTCATTCTTGCAGAACTGAAGTGGTATTGTGTTACGGTTTTGATTTGCATTTCTCTGATAATTAGTGATGTTAGCATTTTTCCAAATGCTTGTTGGCCATTTGTATATCTTCTTTTGAGAATTGTCTATTCATGTCCTTAGTCCACTTTTTAAAACATTTTACTTTAAGTTCTGGGATACATGTGCAGGACGTGCAGGTTTGTTATATAGGTATATATGAACCAGGGTGGTTTGCTGCATCTGTCAACCCATCATCTAGGTTTTAAGCCCCACATGCATTACATATTTGTCCTAATGCTCTCCCTCCCCTTACCCCCCAACCCTTGACAGGCCCCAGTGTGTGAAGTTCCCCTCCCTGTGTCCATATGTTCTCATTGTTCAACTCCCACTTATGAGTGAGAGCATGCAGTGTTTGATTTTCTGTTCCTCTGTTAGCTTTCTGAGAATGATAGCTTCCAGATTCACCCATGTCCCTGAAAAGGACATGAACTCATCCTGTTTTATGGCTGCATAGTATTCCATGGTATATATATGCCACATTTTCTTTATCCAGTCTATCATTGATGGGCATTTGGATTGGTTCCAAGTCTTTGCTGTTGTAAATAGTGCTGCAATAAACATAGGTGTGCACGTGTCTCACTTCTTAATGAGATTTTTTTTTTCTTGCTGATATGTTTGAGTTCTTTGTAGATTCTGGATATTAGTTGTTTGTCAGATGTATAGATTGTGAAGATTTTCTCCCACTCTGTGGGTTGTCTGTTTACTCTGCTGATAGTTTCTTTTGCTGTGCAGAAGCTTTTTAGTTTAATTAAGTCCCATCTATTTATCTTTGTTTTTGTTGCATTTGCTTTTGGATTCTTGGTCATGAAGTCTTTGCCTAAGCCAATGTCTAGAAGGGTTTTTCCTATGTTATCTTATAGAATCTTTATGGTTTCAGGTCTTATATTTAAGTCTTTCATCCACCTTGAGTTGATTTTCATATAAGGTAAGAGCTGAGGATCCAGTTTCATTCTTCTACAGGTGGCTTGCCAGTTATTTCAGCACCATTTGTTGAATAGGGTGTCCTTTCCCCACTTTATGTTTTTGTTGGCCATGTTGAAGATCAAATGGCTGTAAGTATTTGGCTTTATTTCTGAGTTCTCTATTCTGTTCCATTAGCCTATGTGCCTATTTTTATACCAGTAACGTGCTGTTTTGGTGACTATGGCCTTATAGTATAGTTTGAAGTCGGGTAATGTGATGCCTCCAGATTTGTTCTTTTTGCTTAGTAAGACTTTGCATTTAGATGAATGCAACACAAAAGAGTTTTGGCTAAGGAAAGCACAATAAACTGCTTCAACTGTGACCACTACACTTTAGCATGTTGCATTAGCTTTCTGGAAATGTTCTGCAAGGCTCAGAATTTAAGAAATAGTAAATTCAAAGTTACTTGAAGCATACGTGTTTAGGGCCAAATGATGCAAGATTTGTTTTCCAGACGGTTATGGCACTGGCTAACTTTTTTAGTTGTGTAGAAGAGACAATTGGAGTCTGACGTCATAAAATGTATAAATGACAAATGGAATTTCTTAAACTTTGAGATTGAAAAACAGAAATGAAATATGTGAAGTGTGAAATAAAAGATGTGAAGTATGCTATTATGTTTTCTTAAAAGTTATATTTCCATTATGAAAGTATGTGCATGTCTTATATATGCATACATACATATGCATGTATATACACTCAGAAAATTTGGAAAATACAGAAAAACAGGAAGAAGCAAAAAACTTTTTTAAATAGCTCCCAACTATGGATATCAGTTATCAACATTTCTCCCAATAAATTTTCCATGTTAAGATGGTTTTTGCTGTGGAAGGTTGGGAGGGGATGGGGATAGCCAAGTTGTAATCATAATGTATATATAGATTTATATCTCTCCTCATTTAGTGTTTTAACAAAAGTATTTTCTGTGTTATTGCAATTGTTTCTGTGCTATTGTAATTGTTTATAAATTATATATATAATTGTATAAACATACTGTAATAGTATAGAAACATAGTTGCAGATTATTTATTTGAATTACTTTAACAGTTTTTAAAACAGTTCTTATTATCAGGTATTTAGATTGTTTGCAGTTTCATGATATTACAAATGACTCTATGTGTATTTCTGTCTATAAAGTCCCCCCCGTTATTTTTAGTTATTTGCAGATTAGCTAGATTCCCAGAAATAAGATTTCTAGAGGCATTGAGAATAAACATTTCTAAGACTCTCTGTCTCTCTGACACACACACACACACACACACACACACACACACACACAAACTACTTGTATGAGTTTACAATTCCTTGTGTAAAAGGTCCATGAAATTATATCTTCACCAACATTAGCTGTTTGCTGAAAAAAAGAACTTGACTAATTTAAGATATAAACATTGTTTCTCATAATTTTTGCCCAACTTTCTTCTCTTGTGGGAAATGCTGGGTGAGGGACAGGCCAAATCAGAGGGTTCCATGGGAGCCAGAAACAATTTGTGGAGCTGAAGCACTATCAGGATAATAAGTTGAAAGTAAGACACTGATCTGAGGGAAGCATGCACCATGGAAGCAGTGTTTGGAGCTTCAAAGAGTGGGAGAGGCAGCATAGAGTGGCAGAGCCATGGGTCATGTGGAGGAACTTAGGAAGGGTCAGACATTGGTGCCGTGTGCAGGCCCTGTGTGGGGGAAAGTATCTTCTCTAGGGAGAAGATCTCATAATATAGGCTGGAGGGAGACTTAATATTGTTCTTTACATTCTTTTATGCCATTTAAAAAATATTCGTTTTACCGTGTGCATATATTACTTTTTCAATGAAAAATTAGTTTATTAAAAAGGAGAAATTAGGAAAATTATACTTCCTTAACACTAATGGGCTTGCATACTTTTCATATATTGTCAGTCTCTTTTAATTTCCTTTTATTTTATCGATATGCTAGAGAGTTGGGCAAAATTTTGTAGTAAGAAGTTTTTGATAATTTTCTTGTTATATTTCTAATGTATTCCTGTACCTTATCCTTTTATTAGTTGAACATTTTTATCATAAGATTAATTTCATTAAATAATTTTTTTCCCCCCGGAAGATTTTTTTCCCTCCCTTTTTAAGCAGAGATGGTTCTAAGTCTCATTTCTTCATTTGCTTAGTTTCCTCCTTTATCTCCCCACAGACATGGACAGACTACATTGTTTCTCAGTGTTTTCCGTTTATAGGTATCCTCGCGCATGTCTAAATTTGTGGCACTGTGGCCAAAAAACTATGGGTTTTGATAAGTGGAACCGGAATTGAGGGTGAGCTAGGCCTTGAAACTACTATTCCTCACTGTCTTTCTGAAGAAGGAAGCTCTGATAAGGAGGAGCTCTGAGGATTGGTTGGGCTTGTTCAAGTCTGCGGAGCTATTGATATGGGAGCACATAGGTACGTGATGGAGTGTATTTACGAGAGAGAAATGTGGGAAGGTGAGGGGTCACATGAACTTGGAGCACTGGTCCTGTCAGGCAGCCTAGACAGGGGAGCCAAAGTAAACAATTCAAAATTACCACTATTCATGAGTTCGCTCATGACCACAAAGAGGCAAGTGCCAGTTCGTTGGTTCAAAACTGATATTTTAGTTAACTGATTGGAGGAAGAGTAGGCAGATTTACATTCTACACAGTCTCAATTATTGTTTACACGTGAATGTGAGCAGTTATTTAATCTCTCTAGTTAACTAGTCTTTAAAAAGAATTGGCGTGATACCTTCCCTGAACTGTTTCATAGGTGTTTTTGTGAGAATGAATGAAGTTTCTATTATAAAATAGTAGTGAATTTTCTTTTGCTTTTGTTTATTTTCTTTGACTGTGTTTTATCACTTTCTCTGAATGCGTTTTTCATTCCTCATTTTTGGAATCCTTTTTTGTATGCTCTTTTCTCTGTTAATATGTGATGTGCCCTGTGCCTACTCTTTGTGACCATCTTCATTTCAGATTTCTTCCTTCAAGCATTACCAAAAAGATGTAGAAGAAGAACTTTGTGAATAGAGAGAGAAACACTTATTTTTCTCTTTTTCATAGATGCCTGCTAACTTATGCCTCCTCCTCCTCTTTCCCTGAAGGAGCTTTGGGCATTTTTCTGTATCTCCTACTCAAGAGAATGGAAAGCTCCAATGCCTTGTATTGCCAGACCTGTTTTTAAAATATGCCCTATTCTTAGGGAGTAACTAAAACTTTATATATCTTCTGTTTTCTCCCCTTCTAGGCAAAGTGGTTCAAACCACAAATTACCTAACAAGTAAAAGTGGTCGTGTAGCAATACTAGAGGAATTTTTATCTTGTTTAGTATAGCTAAACCATCCTTGATTGGGAGTGTTTTCCAGTGAGTTTGCCTTGAATGGCTAAGGAGATCAATAAAGAAATTATATTTTAATGGAAGGAGACTGGTTGGTATGTCTTTAACCATTTGTTTGAATCACTTGAAATGAATTCAAGTTGGTAAGGTATGTTGCCAACTTATATGTTTTTATAATTTTTAAAAATTGTTTGGATATAGGCCTGTAACTTGCCAAATAACTAAGGAGAAATGACAGAATTTAAAAAATATAAATCAAGACAACTAACTTTTCTTTTTGCTCTAGTAGGGAATGAGGACTGGTAAGGAATACTTGACCAAGAAATGAAATATTGTATTTTATTCTTGCTTATAAATGTTTAGCAATGCTCTCTGAAGGAAATGCATAGCAAGCTATGTTAGGATCATTTTAAGTTCTATACGGTGCTGTTATATCCTACTGATACTTTGAATTTAGTCTTGAACAGCTCAGAAGGAGTTTCTGGCTATTGAGGTCAACAGATTTGCCAGGGAAAACTTTGTACTTTACTTATCAAATCACTTTCATATCAAGATACCCCTCTTATTCACTGTATGATGCTGAAGCTCTTACCTTTTCCTCTGTTCATCATCTTTATCTGAACATCCTAAGACCCGTTTTTCCTATAAATGAAAGAACACTTATGAATTTCCCCATTGTCATTTAGTTCCTATAAATCAACTCACTCAGTAGAGCAAAGTAATTCCTTTAAAAAATGCATTCCTTTACTTTTTCTTTGTTTTCTTTTGGTAGAAGCTATGCTTGGTTTGTCCTTAAGGCAATATAAAGTAGTGTTGATGGTTCTCAAAGTGTGGTCTGCAGACCTCTGAGGATCCCTGAGACCATTTCAGGGGTCTGCAAAGTCAAAACTGTTTTCATAATCTTATTAAGATATTATGGCATCTTTTTTACAGTGTTAATGTTTGCATTTACGTTGCAGAAGCAGTGGTGGGCAAAACTGATGACTTGGCATTAACCACAGCAGACGTCAAGCTATACTCATGGTTATTTTATTCTCTGTTGTCACACATACTCAGTTAAAAAAACAACGACAGTTCACTTAAGAATGTCTTTGGCCGGGCACGGTGGCTCACGCCTCTAATCCCAGCACTTTGGGAGGCCGAGGCGGGCGGATCATGAGGTCAGGAGATCGAGACCATCCTGGCTAACACGGTGAAACCCCGTCTCTACTAAAAATACAAAAAAAATTAGCCGGGCCTGGTGGCGGGCGCCTGTAGTCCCAGCTACTCGGGAGACTGAGGCAAGAGAATGGCGTGAACCCGGGAGGCGGAGCTTGCAGTGAGCCGAGATCGCACCACTGCACTCCAGCCTGGGCGACAGAGCGAGACTCCATCTCAAAAAAAAAAAAAAGTCTTTGATGAAGTAACAAAAACTATGAATTTTATAAAGTCATAACCCTTGAGTACACATGCTTTCAATATTCTGTGCGACACAATGAGAGTACACATGGAGGACTACTGCATACCTAAGTACGTTGTCTCAAGGAAAATCCTGAGTGTGATTGAGTTCCAAGCTGAACTAGCTGCTTTTTTCTTGGAACCATCCTTTTTCACTTGGAGGAGTGACTGACGGATGAACTGTGGTTATTCAGATTTGCGCATTTGGCAGACATTTTCCCATGTCTCTATTTTATGCCTATCTTTTTCAGGCCTAACCGTCACCATTGTGCTTATATTTCTGTGAGGCTCTAGTGTTTACAGAGCGTTTATTTATATCTGGTATTACAGATACAGATGGTCTGTGGATCTGAGTTGAATTACTTTAGCATATAATGCTGAATTTAGGTAGAGATCAAAAAAATTAAAATTATAAAAGAATAAGAAACAAATTAAGTCTTCCAGGGCTAAAATTATGGTCTTCTAGGATATTTAGGTTTCTTGTTTTGTTACTACCCGGCTTTACACTTCACTTTTTCTGCCTATTCATGATGGAATTCCTTCTCAATTTTTCTGCAAGGATTTTTTTAGAAGGCAGGAGAAATTGCCAATATCAAAAGATTTCTCTAACTTCATCTCTGGGTATATGGCTAAGGAGGAGTAGTCTGTTCCTCTTAGATTTCTATTACTCTTTTCCTCTACATTGATGTGTGAATGTGATACTGGATTTGTATGAAATTTCAGTTTTAACTGGTCTTTTATTTGTTACGACTTCTACAGAATCTTGCCTCCTGGAATCCTTCAAATCCTGAATGTCTCTTACTTGTGGTGAAGGAACTTGTGCAACAATATCACCAATTCCAATGTAGCCGCCTCCGGGAGAGCTCCCGCCTCATGTTTGAATACCAGACATTACTGGAGGAGCCACAGTATGGAGAGAACATGGAAATTTATGCTGGGAAAAAAAACAACTGGGTAAGGATTTTTGAGAATGGAAAAAAAGATGACTTCATCCATAATAAAATAATCAATTCATATGTCCATTTGTAAATCCTAGTCATTTCTTTAGATAAACATGGTCCAGGTAGCCTATATGTTTCTCATAATTTAGAGTTTAAAGAGACCTTAATGTTTGTCTAGTTCATTGTGTTTCTCAAAGATATTACCTGGGAAGTTTGTAAGATTCAGAGTCTCATCCCCAGCCCCAGATATTCAGCAGTCAGAGGTGGAGCCTGAGGGCCTGCACGTGCTACCAGCCTCCATGTTGTTATGATGTATGTGGCTTGCAGGCCACATTTTGAGACACTAACAAGTTTCCCCCTCCTTTGAGTGGAAGACTTCTCCAATATCCCAGTCAGGTAAGAGAGGTCAGTAACTCTGGAAGCAGCTAGCTTACATGGTGCCTTTTATATTTTCTTTTTGCAACTTATAATTATATGATCCTTTAAAAAATCAAGTCAGACCTTATCACTTCTCTTCCCAGAACCTTATGTACTTCTCTTTTTTTCTCTCATGGTAAAAGCCAAAGTCCTTCCAGTGGTATAAAAAACTCTATATGGAGAAATGCAAATCAAAATCACAATGAGATACCATCTCACACCAGTTAGAATGGCCATAATTAAAAAGTCAGGAAACAACAGATGCTGGAGAGGTTGTGGAGAAATAGGAATGCTTTTACACTGTTGGTGGGAGTGTAAATTAGTTCAACCATTGTGGAAGACAGCGTGGTGATTCCTCAAGAATCTAGAACCAGAAATACCATTTGACTCAGCAATCCCATTACTGGATATATACCCAAAGGATTATAAATCATTTTACTATAAAGACACATGTACACGTATGTTTATTGCAGCACTGTTCACAATAGCAAAGACTTGGAACCAACCCAAATGCCTATCAGTGATAGACTGGATAAAGAAAATGTGGCACATATACACCCTGGAATACTATGCAGCCATAAAAAAGGATGAGTTCATGTCCCTTGCAGGGACATGGATGAAGCTGGAAACCATGATTCTCAGCAAACTAACACAGGAACAGGAAACCAAACATGGCATATTCTCACTCATAAGTGGGAGTTGAGCAGTGAGAACACATGGACACAGGAAGGGGAACATCACACACCGGTGCCTGTTGGTGGGGAGGAGGCTAGGGGAGGGATACCATTAGGAGACATACCTGATGTAGATGATGGGTTGATGGGTGCAGCAAACCACCATGGCATGTGTGTACCTATGAAACAAACCTGCACGTTCTTCACATGTATCCCACAACTTAAATTTTATATAAATATATATTTATATATAAATATATATCTATATAAATATATAAAAAAATATAAATATATATTTATATAAAAAATATATAAATATATATTTATATATATAAATATATATAAATATATATTTATATATATAGATATATATATTTATATATATATAGATATATATAAATATATATAAATATATATTAATATATATAAATATATATATAAATATATATTAATATATATAAATATATATATAAATATATAAATATATATAAAAATATATAAATATATATATAAAAGAAACCCCAAAAAAAGAAAAAACAAAACTCTGTATGATTCCCATCACCACCATCTTCCATCCATCATTAATTTTGTCTGTTCATCTCCTACCTTCCTCTTTCAAATTCAGCTCCAGCCACACTGGCACCCTGCTGTGCAGCAAGCACACCAGGTATTCTCCTGCCCAAGGGTCTTTGCATAGGCTCTCTGTTGTCAGAGATGTTTCCCTCAGATATGCACATGGCTAATACTCTTCCTTCAAACTTCTACTAATGTTATGTTCTCAATGATGCCATGTTAACACCCCCAGTAGCCGTTTTGAGGTATAATTTACATATCATAAATTTACCTGTTTTAAGTGTACAGTTAAATGATTTTTAATAAGTTGGCTGATTTGAGCAACCACCACCATTATCCAGTTTTAGAATGGTTCCATCACCCCAGTGAGATCCCTCATGTCCACTTACAGTTAATCTTGTTCCCACCTCCAGCCCTAGTCAATCACTAAACTACTTTCTGTTTCTATCAATTTTCTTTTCTGAACATTTCTTATGGTGGAATCATACAGTATGTGGTTTTTGTGACTGACTTCTTTCACTTAGCCTATGTTTGAGGTTCATCCATGTTGTGGCATGTATCAGTACTTCATTTCTTTTTATGGCTGAATAATATTCCATTGAATAGACATACTACGTTTTGTTTATCCATTTACCAATTAATGGACACTTGGGTTGTTTCCACTTTTTGACTTTTATGAATAATGCTGCTGTAAGCATTCGTGTGTAAGTATTGGTAATACCCCTTTTAAACATTGTTTTTTACATTGTTTAAACATTTTTTTAAAAAAGACTTGCACCTCTCCTCTATTTTTTACTTTGCTCCACATGGTTTTTTTGCATTTCCTTTTGGCATGCCATATAATTAATGTATTAGTTATATGTTGCTATGTAAAATAATCATTCCAAAACTTAGTGGCTTCAAACAATAACATTTATTATCATAGTTTTTGGCAGCAATCTGGGTAGGTCCTTTGTCTCAGGGTCTCTCACAGGCTGTGCTTGAAGTGTTGGCTAGGGCTCTGGTCATCTCAAGGCTCGACTGGAGATGGAGTCATTATAAATGCATGCATTTAATAGTTGGCGTAGTTCAGTTCCTCATGGGCCATCGAATGGAGGGCCTCAGTTCAGTGCTGGCTGTTGTCTGGAGGCCGCCTTCAACTCCTTGCCTCTCTACAGGGCAGTGCACAAGATTCAGAGCAAGCAAGTAGGGGAGAGCAAGAAGGAGTGTGTGAGCAAGATAGAAGTCATAGTCTTTTATAACCTAATCTTGAAAGTGACAGCCCATCACTTTTGCTGTATTCTATTTGTTAGGTCCAATATCCCACCCTCCCAACACACCTACACCCCCCGCCCCTCCCCGCCACCCACACGCAGAATTACATAGGAATGTGAATACCAGAGACCGCTGGGAGCCACTTAGAGGGAGCCTACCATACTTATTGATTATGTTTATTGTGTGTCTGTCTTCATTGGAATGTAAAATCTCATGAGGGCAGGGATCTTTGTTTTGTTCACTGGTAAATCACAAACGCCTGGAACAGTGTCTTCCACTTCATTGGTATTCCATAAACGTTTTTGAATGAATGAATGAATGAATAAACTCTCATTAAGCACAGAAAAAGTTTAGGTGCTCTTCTCTGCTAATTCTTTTAGGTTTCCCTGTCTTTTTTAGGCTAAATAACACTCCGGCTTTTATTCTTCAGCTTTTTCTTTTTCTTTTTTTTCTTTTTTTGAGACGAAGTCTCACTCTGTGGCCCAGGCTGGAGTGCAGTGGCGTACTCTCGGCTCACTGCAACCTCCGCCTCCTGGGTTCAAGCAATTCTCCTCTCTCAGCCTCCTGAGTAGCTGGGACTACAAGTGCATGCCACCACGCCCGGCTAATTTTTGTATTTTTAGTAGAGACGGGATTTCACTATATTGGTCAGGCTGGTCTTGAATTCATGACCTCAGGTGATCTACCCGCCTTGGCCTCCCAAAGTGCTGGGATTATAGATGTGAGCCACCATGCCTGGCCTCTTCGGCTTTTTCTTAAAGGTTATGATTTTAAGGTTTTACACATGATTAATGCCTTCAAATCAGCATGACTAAAATTTTTCTTATTACAAATCAAGTTGTTTGTTCAGTTCAAGGTTTTTTTCCTTTTGTAAAGTCTTGAATTTATATTTCAGTAAAAGACACATAACACTACATTTGCCGTCTTTACTATTTTTAAGTGTGCAGTTCAGTAGTGTTAAGTATATTCACATTGTTGTGCAACAGATCTCTAGAACTTTTTCATCTTGCAAAGGAAGCCATTAAACACTAATTCCTCCTCCCCCCAGCGCTTGGCAGTCACTTTACTATTTTATGTTTCTATGGTTTTGACTCCTTTAGATACTTCATATGGGTAGAATTGTATAGTATTTGTTTTTTTGTGACTGCTTATTTCACTTAGCATAATGTCTGAGGTTCATCAATGTTGTAGCATGTGATAGGATTTCCTTCCTTTTTAAGGCTGCATAGTGTTCAATTGAGTGTATTTACCATATTTTACTTATCCATTCATCCATCAGTGAACATTTGGGTTGCTTCTACCTCTTGGCTATTGTGAATCATGCTACATTGAACATAGGTGTGCAACTATCTCTTTGAGATTCTGCTTTGAGTTCTTTGGGATATATACCTACAAGTGGGATTGCTAGATTATATATAATCCTATTTTTAATTTTTTGAGGAATTTCCATACTGTTTCCTTAAGGGCTGCACTATTTTACATTCCCATCAACAGTGCATGGTTCAGACTTAAACTATGGATTGTTTTGAAATGTTAATATGTTTATATGGCTCATAAGGAAAACTTTGTTGAACTTAATTTAGCCTCTATCCCCAGCATTTTCCTATTAAATAATCAACTTAATTGTCCTTACATAAATGGGTGTTAGGTTAATTCTTGGTGAACATGTGTTGTCTTTAGTGCTGACAGGCTCATCTGAAAACAGGAATCGCTGTCAAACTAACCAGTCTTTGGTTTTTAGAATTTGCCTTCCTGTCTCATTCCCCCTTTTTTAATAATAATAGTGAATTTGAATATAATCCAGTTTTATGGCACCGTTTGTTACCTAATAATTTTCAAAATGTTATTCAGTGGCTCAGCTAATACTTGAGTTGTAGTTCATCTAGGTGTAGAAGTTTAAATTCATTTCAAGCAGATAGTTTGTATTTATAGTATTTTTTAAACTTTCTGTTTAATGTTACCGATATTCCTTTCTTTACTTACAAAACCTACTACTGCTACACTTATCTCAGTTTATTTTGATTTGATGTTAAGTAGTTTGTAAACATTAGGGCAATGGTTATGGATTCAAGTGAAGTAAAGAAACTGAGAATCCTGTAACAAGGCAAAGCTTACAGCAGACCAGGCCTAGGGAAGGCCTAGTAGAAATGGTAGCTGAGTCTGTAGAAGTAAAACTATGAGTTGGAATCAGGGAAGATCAAGAAACAGGGTATAAAAGTGAGTCTTGAGGGATGAACAAATTAGAGCTTGGCATGAGGGTTCAGGAATATTAAAGGACAGCCTGCTAATGGAGGAAAAATATAGACCAAGAGTCTGGAGATAAACACTGGACCCTGGCAGAAAGAAAGGAGCTTGATTTTGAGCCAAGATTTTTTTGAATCAGGGACTGTATTAGTTTCCTATTGCTGCTGTAAAAATTACCACAAACTTGGTGGCTTAGGACAACACAGACTTATTATGTCATAGTTCTGGAGGGCGGAAGTCCAAAATGGGTCTCCCTTGGCCAAAATCAAGGGGTTGGCAAGGCTGCATGCCTTCTGGAAGCTCTAAAGGAAACCGTTTCAGGGTACTAAAGAAACTTGCAGATATGCTCTCTGGGACATTATCTTTGAGAAATTTTAGAGAAGCAGAAAGATCCTAGAAGACTGTTATAAATAACAACATCCTGGAGATTTTTAAAGAAATTAAGTTCAGATCTTTAAGTAGATGATTTGCAAACATTAAAATAAAAATGCAGTAGTCAATTGGAAAAATAGTTGGGTAACTGGGAAACTGTCATGACAAACTTAGTTTACTTCTTTAAGGAAGGGTAGTATCATAAACTTAGATGATCTCATTTTCAGCGAGGCACTTGGTCATTCTCTCTTAGGATTCCACTGACTTATGCTCCTTTCTTAGTTGTTGGGATCTGTGGAAGCGTTCCACCTAAAAGTTTGGGTATAACTCTTACCAGCCTCAGGTGTTTCGTGGAATGTCACAGGGCTTTTCCTTTGACCCCGTCTTGTTAAGGGTTTTGTTAGGGACTTGAATGAACCCATACAAAGTATGCATTTCTTTTTTCTGCTAGCACAGAGCTTGAAAAGATAGCTATTGTGCAAGATTACAGAATCAACATTAAAAATTATTTTTGTGTGCTGGAATGCTGCACCAAACTAACAAGATGCACTTTAGTAGGGCTCAGCCAGTATGGGACTAATAGATTTATGGAAAGTCTACTATGCTAGGTTTTGGGTTAAAAAAAAATAAAGTAGATCAGATATGGCCTTGGCTCCTGAGACTGTTAAAATCCAATTTGGAAGGTTTAATCTGTATCTCTAAAAGAGGAATTTGAACAATACTGGATAGATTACATCTCAAATGGAATATACAGGCTGTGTGAGCATTCAGCAGAAGAGACAATCACTGAGGAAGGGAGTAACCAAGGAAAGCCTTTACTGGCCAACTGAGCTAGACCCTGAAGGAAGGTGGACGTAGATGGCTCTCTCAAGAGAGATGTTCAGTGGGTTGTATGACTGGGGAAAACTTAGGGACATGACATATATGGGGAATAGAATTGTAAGCATATATTCAACTGGCTTACTGATCAGTAAAACACATCTATTATGTCTTAGTGGCATTTTGCAGCATGAGGACATTTTTGTATGAAATAAATGGATATTTTTTAATTAAAACATGAAAATAGTATATTCTCTAAATGAAACATTATAAGAATCAATAGGTTCTTCCTGATCTGAATGGAAATTCAAGTATTTTAGTTTTTTCTGGTCCAAGTAGTCCATCTGATAAATGCTTGCTATAAAGAATCTAAGACTAGGAATGATTATTTAATCCCTTTGCATTATGCAGGTCTGTATCTGTTAGAGAGGATGGTCTTTACTGTTGTCATCACTGAATTTTTCTTTCTGCCACATACATTTATATTCTTAAAAACATTCCTGCTCTAAAAGTATGAGGCTTTGAAAAACCTGATATGCTTCTTCCTTTTACTATCAGCTGGCATGAGGAAAATGTTACCATGTAGAAGAGGAAAAGGGCTCTGATTTACTATCAGTCTTCCGACAAGTCTGCGAATTTGAAATACACTATTCTCCCCACCCTATGCAGACACTCTTCTCCCTGCCCCCTGAACCTCCATTTAGAAGTTTGAGCAAGCACACATTTGAAAGTAAACATTAACCAAAAAAAACCCATTCTTTATTGTCTAATTCTTTACCGTTGTATTTTTACCAAATTGTTTCTCCTTATTGCTTTGCTCATCTCTTTTAATGATTTTTAGACATTGTAGTCCTTGTCTATGCTGGTTTTATAATGTTTAAGAAATAGTAATAATAATTATAAAACTATAATGTTTAGGAAACCCCTGTTTCTCTAAACAGGTGAAAACAGATGCATATTGGGATGCAAGCTTAATGTTAAGAATGAAGAAGACTTTTCTGCCTGCATGCTCGGAGTCATTTTTTAAAAGTGTATTTATTTTATATTTTGTAAACATTTTCATTTTGAAATAATTATAGATATATAGGAAGTTGCAAAGTAGAGATCCTGAGTATCCTTCACTCAGTTTCCCCCAGTGGTTCGATTTTCTGTAACTATAAAAAAATACAGAAACCAGGAAATTGACATTGGTACAATGTATGTGTATAGTTCTGTGCCACTTCATCACACACGTAATTTCCTGTAATCACTATTGAAATCAAGATGCAGATATTCCATTACCACAAAGATCTCTACTGCTACCCGTTTGAGCAGAGCTATTTTTAAGATCATAATTTTAAAGTGACGAATTCCCATAATGTAAGAACTGCTATTGAAAGTATATATCCTGTTTTGATATATCAAAAAAAGATACATCATACATTTTCTCAATGGGTAAATCCTAAGGTTTCATTTTATATTGCCACTATTATTATTATTTATTATCTCTATTTTATATTGCCTTGTTAACATTTTTGTCATGGATGTGTGTATCAGAAGAACCAGTGTGTCTTAGTCCATTTTCTGTTGCTTACAACAGAATACCCGAAACTAATAACTTATAAAGAAAAGGAATTTATTCCTTACAGTTATAGAAGTTGAGAAGTCCTAGGTTGAGAGGCTGCATCTGATAAGAGCCTTCTTGATATTGGGGACTCTGTGCAGAGTCCTGAGATGGTGCAAGGCATCACATGGCGAGAGGGCTAAGCATGCTAGCATGCTCGCTTAGGTCAATCTCTCTCTTCTTGTAAAGCCGCCAGTTCCCCTCTTATGATAACCCATGAATCCATTAACCCAGTAACCCATGAAAGGCCCCACCTCTTAATACTGCCACATTGGGGGTTAAATTTCAGCATGAGTTTTGGAGAGGACAGATATTCAAACACAGTGTTTATTAATTGCAACAAAGCACAATAAGCAAATTTGTGAATTTTATTTTGATTTGTTTTGATTTCCAGAACTTAAAGTTGGCTTATCATACCTAACATTTTGATTAAAGTGTTTTTTTTTTTGAGATATGAAATGTAAGTTTTGAGGTATTCCAAAACCATATAGTTTACATATAAAAATCATCAATGGGTGATCTGTGAGAGAAAACAGTTTTTTAAGCAACATATTTTTTCCTTAATAATGATTTATGCTTTTATAATGGGGATGTGAGACAATTACCTTTTTTGCTTGTATCTGACCCAAATCCTAGTAAGGTTTTAAAAATCTTTGGCTTATCCATTAAGCTCTGGCAACATTAAAAATATTGTGGAGAAAAGAAAGGAGCCATTTTATGGTATCTCCTCACTTGAGTTAATGTCTTAAGCTTCCCTCATGTCATCGTGCTGCAATATCATGTGCAAAGGGAAAGTATCTGAGCAATGTTTGAGTGTGAGCTCCTCTACACAGAGGCCATTTGAAGATGTGTTGGAGAGGGAGAGTGATCTAGGGGGCAGGAGCTTTGGGTTTTCATTCTGCCACCCGTTCTTTTTGTGTGACTCTAGGTTTTTCCATGTGTCACTTTCCTGGAGATAACTACATTGTTGTCTGGACCTTGACACAAAGATTAAATTAGATCTTGTGTGGGAAACAGAGAGTTAAGTAAATATGGAGTCAAGTAATACAAAGTGTTATTATTACTATTAGCTTTTTTTGGTATATTCTTGTTGTAAGTTATTATAACAGGTGCTCAATAAGTGCCGCTTCAATGATTGTTCCTGTAGGATCTCTCAAAATGCTGTTAATCATAAAGTTACCATATGTGACCAATAGAGGCTGTGACCTCCAAGGTGCAGATAAAGTGTAGAGAGCAAGGTAAAAGTGAAAATCAGAAAAAGAGAGTGTTGCTTATCTTACCAGGAGCAGTTCTGATGGACTTCTGAGGATGGGAAAACAGATTTCAGAGAATTAGGCAGAGAGGTGGAGAAGAGGAAGGAAAGGCAATAGGTTTAGACAGTTTTTGGAGGAAAAAGAAAAAAGATATTGGCTAAAAGAGGCTGTCTCATGGTCATTCCCATTAACCCGCTGACATTTATCAATCTGCTTGTGAGGAATCTTTCAGGTTTATGGTATTTGGCAGCTTACGTAGGTCTTTAGGTATTTGTGGCAGGGAGTGTTTACCTTAATGTCGGGATTAACGTTAATGGGAAAATGTCTAGAACTATGCTGTCCAATACAGGAGCTTCTAGTCAAACATGTGACTATCGAGCATTTGAAATGTGGCTAGTCTGAACTGAGATGTGTGCACGTGGGAAATACACACCAGAGTTTGAAGAATTAGTACAAAAAAACTCATTAATGATTTTTATGTTGATTGCATGTGGAAATGCTAATATTTTAGATATATTGGGATGTATTATTAGCTTTTCACCTGTCTTTTTTTGCCTTTTAAATTGTGACTATTAGAAAATGTTAAATAATCTTAAATTATATATATGGCTCACATTTGTACTTTGCATTATTTTTCTTTCAGACAGCACTGGTCTAGCGTGATAGGAGAGGAGGGCAAGAGTTGCTAAGAGAAAGATAAAAATATCTGGGGAGCCTGGAAGTGGATGGCCTTTCCCCTACTGGCATGAGGATGTAGTAGGTGCTCTGGTCATGCCAGTCAGCCATATATAGCAGGGCATGCAGGGACCTTCACCTATAATCTCCCTTTAATTTTTGCTGCTTGGGAGTTATGTCCTGATGGCATTTGACATGGGGATTAACATGTGGTGGCTCCTTTGAAAAGGGTGTAGTGTGGCGGTCAGATATGCTACAGTATACTCCAAGGAATTGACCATATTTGTTTAGTTTTGTTTTTAACCACACGGAACTGTTAGGAGTTGGACATTATGTAAAATAAATGAACCATGACAGTGTCTCCCTTTTTAATTGTCTTTGTAATGGAATTTGTTGTACTGAATTTTGACTTGCATGTCAATGGAAATACTTAAGATCTTGCTTACAATAGCTTATATTTCTGGTTTTTAACCTTATTAATAAAAAGTAGTGTGTGGATACCTAAATTACTTTATACCTCAAAATATTAAAGGTGTAGATTATAACTTTTAAAATCATACTGATATTCCAAAGGAACTCTGTTACTGTTTTTTAAATAGTAGAGGTATCAGTAGGAAATTCAAGTTACTTTCAGCAGCAGGATGCATCAAGTGGAAAAGATCTTATTTTCAGGAAGCATACGAAACACAAAGGAAATCCTTTCCATTTCCTTTGCCTATACTTTTCAGAACAGCATGTGAGGAAGGACTCTAATTGCGCCCCCTTACTTATCTTTGTGAGGCCACTCATTTGTTCTGAACTGATGGGTGCATTGCCCCATCTCTTTGGTGGCCATTTAGATGTAGGGTGCACTCCTTGCACAGTGTTATCGCCATGAAGGAAATGGACAAGTGTTGTCCAAGGACCAGCTGAGGCGGGTTTTAATGCCTTTTTTTCATGTACTAAAAGGCAAAAGACAAAAAGAATCCTACATTTCAAGTATTCTGTACGAAAACTCTTAAGGTGTTTAAAAAATTGTTTTCGGAAATGTACAAATGATGCAAGCTGTTTCCTTCCTCAGAAAAGAGTTTCCTAGTTTTTCAATTATTTTCAAGAATTCATGGTACCATTAACTTATTTACTTCAAAGAACTGTGGAAATGTGTTGATTAGATCAGGGAGGCTTAACCTAAGCCAAACAGAATTCTTCCCTGGGAATTTGGAGTTAGTACTGAGGGAGTGAGATTGGTCTCTGTATGAGTAATTGGTCTGTAACATGTAAATCTGGGAACTTTTTTCTAATAACATCTGGTCAAAAGAATCAGAAGCTGGCAAATAGAAAGGAAAATGAAGTACAGAGACAGCAGAGACAAGAGACTAAGAGAAAATTCTGTGGGTATTAGAATCCTTGGAACTGAGGCCATGCTATGTTTTTATCCTTAGGTTTCATGAGATCCCTCATATCCTTTCAATAAATTCTCTTTTGTTTGTTCAAATTAGTTTGAATTGGAGTTCTGTCACTGGAAACTGAGTGTCCCGATTAAATTACTTCCAAAGCGTCCTGTGAATATCTCTGTCAAAACACTTACCATGTCGTACTATTTTGTTTAATTGCCAGTCTAGTCAAAATAGACTTTAAGTTCCTTGAGGACACATAGACTGTTTTGTCTTAAGTTCTCCATTATCTAGCCTAGTACTTGGCACAGTATGTGCTCAGTAAATATTTGTTCAATGAATGAATGAATGAATAATGCATGAATTGTGGACATTTTATTATATACGCTTTTAGTTTTTTTTAAATTCCTTAAAATTTTTTCGAATGGATAAGGTATTCATATTATTCAAAAATCAAAGTCTATGTAAAGTAATATAGTGAAAAGTCTCCCTCCCATCTTTGTCCTTTGTCCACCCAAATCATACCACTTTCCTCCTGTCCAGGTAAGCACTAATATAAATTTTTTCTAGTATAGATTTTCAGAGTTAGTTTGTACATATATAAGCAAATACTAATATATATTCCCCCTTTTTATGCAAATGGTAACGTATATTATGCACTGTTTTGGATCTTCCTTTTAACTCAATATAGCTCAGAGATTTTTTCTGTATAAACATATATAGAACTCCCTCATTCTTTTTTTACAATTGTATATTATTACATTGTATAATTGAATTATTATTACATCTGAACTCTATTATTGGATATTGTTTGCTTCTAATCTTTTGCTATTACAAACAATACTGTAATAAATAATCTTGTATATATGTCACTTTGCATGTGTTCAGGTATGTCTGTAAGATAAATAATTAGAAGTGGAATTACTGGATCAAAGATTATGTGTTCATAATTTTATTGTCAAAGTAACTTCCATAAAGTTTATACAGGTTTATTAAACCAGCAGCAATATATGAAAGTGGTTGTTTCTCCACAGTATTGTCAACAGTATATTAAAATATTTGTAGATTTCTGTCAAGTTGCACTTTTTGTCACGGCCAAGTAGCTCCTGTTGACCTAACTCTTCACAACAGCTCAGAGCTCCGAGCAAAATATAGAGCCATTTGCCTGAAAACACTAGAGAGTGATCAAAGCAGGCAGATACTGGATGGACATTGATACTTGGAAGAAGGGAAAGCAGAGCCTTGATATTATGGGATAGTATCAAAATGTTTAATATATAAGAAACGGGAGTCCTAGAAGGGGAAGAGAAAGGGAGAAGGCAGGAAAGTATTTGACAAAATAACACATTTCCAAATATGGTGAAAGACAGAAATTTACAGATTCAAGAAGCTCAACAAACCCCATCTGGGATAAATGCAAGGAAAAACTAAAACAAAACATTATAGTAAAAATACTGATAACCAGACATAAAGAGAAAATCTTAAGTAACCAGAGAAAAATTATGCTTTATGTACAGTTCCCTCTCACTGCTTTTCTTCTTTAGACTTTTCCTGCCTGGTGTTATTTATTTTTCCATGTGGTCTTTTGACTTAGCTTTAAAAAAAATTCCCTCCAAGTAATGAGCCCCCAACCCTAGATGGTTCATTTCCTCCTGGAATTTGCTCTCAGAGCACTGTGCCCTTTGATAGCATTTATCACAGGTTATAATTTATTTTATTTATTTTGTATTTTACATTCAGGGGGTACACGTACAGGGTTATTACAGGGTTATGTTGTGTGATGTTAAGGTTTTGGTTTCTATTGATCTTGCCACCCAAATAGTGAACATAGTACTCAATAGGAAGTTTTTCAGCTCTTGTCCCCTTTCTTTCCTCCCTCCTTCTGGAGTCCCCAGTGTCTGTTGTTCCCATCGTTATGTGTGTGTGTGCTCAGTGTTTAGCTCCCACTTATAAGTGAGAACATGTGGTATATGGTTTTCTGTTTCTGCATTAATTTCCTTAGGATAATGACCTCCAGCTATATCCATGTTGCTGCAGAGGACATGATTTTGTTCTTTTTTAATTTCTGTGTTGTATTCTATGGTGTATATGTACCACATTTTAAAAATCCAGTTCACCACTGATGGGCACCTAGGTAGTTTCCATGTCTTTGTTATTGTGAACAGTGCTATAATAAACATATAAGTGGAGGTGTCCTTTTGGTAGAGCGATTTATTTTCCTTTGGGTATGTACCCAGTAGTAGAATTGCTGGATCAAATGGTAGTTCTATTTTTAGTTCTATGAGAAATCTTCAAACTGCTTTCCACCTGCCTGAACTAACTTACATTCCCACTAACAGTGTTTAAGTATTCCCATTTCTCCACACAGGTTATAATTGATAGGAGTGATTATTTTGATTGATATCTGACTCACCTACTAGACTATAAGCTCCAAAAGGGCAGTGGTCCTGTCTCTTTTACTCACTAGATGCCTAGCGGAGTGCCTGACACATTTTAGGCCCTTAATACATACTCGTGAATGGATGAATACACCTTGAGTCTTGAGGTTGAGCTCTGTGACTCTTTGTTACTCTCTCAATAACTGTAGGCAAGTTTCTTGACTGTTCTAGGCCTCAGTTTTTTCATTTCTAAGTATAAATGAATTGTATCTACCAAGCAGGGTTTTGGGATAATTAAATGACATATCTTAGAAAACATTTTGTAAATTATAAAATTCTAGTTAGACTAACTTTGACTTTCCTTTTCACATTTAGTGTATATGTATGCATGTGCTAAGGAACAATCTCCAGATTTAGGCTCACTGGTTTTCAGAGTCCATTTGAAGAATCAGCCTTACCAGTTTGTCACCCAGCTAAAGTTATAATCACTTGAGTGTTTCTTAGCTTTTAGCTGTCTAAGTGGTAAGAGCAGTCAATTTCAGATAAAAGCTTGTTTGTTGACAAGGGAAGTGCCTCTAAGAAAGGAAGTAAAATTTTCCCTTACAGAACAACCTGAACTTGGACTCCATTCTGCACAAAATGTCTACCTGTCACTTCTAAAAGGAGAAGAAAACTGTCACAGCTGTGATTACCAAAAGCAAAGCTTAGACTTAATAAATTGCCAAAACTCAGAGTCTTGTTAGTTTAAGTTGCTTGCCAACGTACTATAACTTGAAAAAAGGAAAGATGCACATATTTATTGCTAATGCTGGGGAAATTGCCATTAAGACAGTTGGCAGAAAGGCTGACATTTTAACAGTCATAGGTTAGATAATTTTCTGCATCTATCCAAGAGAAGATTTTGACCAAGGACTGACAAAAAAAAAAAATCAAATTATTCTGTTCACTTGGCGGCATCTAAATGTCTCATTTTCAGCTTACAGGAAAGATTGCTGTGAAAGCAATCTTTGACATTACAACTGAGTGACCATAAATTGCTTGAATAGCTGTTGGAAATTCAAATATAAAACCACATGAAAAGTCATTATCTGAGGTAGAACAAGGATTTTTCACTTGTTTTGCTCTTCATTTACAGTTTATAACTTAATTTTACATTAAGATTGTTTTAAAATTATCATGTACTCAGTTTCACAGAAGATGATTAGCTTATAGGTCATAAGGAAAATCAGTGCCAGAATGAAAAACTGAATTCTTTTTTTTTTTTTTTTTTTTTTTTGAGACGGAGTCTCGCTCTGTCGCCCAGGCTGGAGTGCAGTGGCGGGATCTCGGCTCACTGCAAGCTCCGCCTCCCGGGTTCACGCCATTCTCCTGCCTCAGCCTCCAGAGTAGCTGGGACTACAGGCGCCCGCCACTACGCCCGGCTAATTTTTTGTATTTTTAGTAGAGACGGGGTTTCACCGTTTTAGCCGGGATGGTCTCGATCTCCTGACCTCGTGATCCGCCCGCCTCGGCCTCCCAAAGTGCTGGGATTACAGGCGTGAGCCACCGCGCCCGGCCGAAAAACTGAATTCTTGAGTCTTAGCGTTCAACATTTCCAGTGCTGTCAGAAACAAGTGCTGAGTTTTCTTTGTTCTTCCAATGGCAAAATAAGGAATGTATGATAGGCTTGAAAGTTGGCAATCATAAAGTGCTTTTTATGGTTTCCCAAATTCCCTTCATAGTATTGTTTCTTTTATTATGAATTTAGTTGTGTAAATCAGCCTGTTGCTGATAAACAAAAATTTATATTAGTCCTGGGACCAACATTTCTTTCAGTATGACATTAGTTGTGTAAATCAGCCTGTTGCCAATAAACACAAATTTGTATTAATTCTAGGATCAACATTTTGAGAAGGAATAAAGTAGGGATCATCTAAGAGTTTTTAAAAGAATGTGGGTCTAAAATAGCTGGTAGAATAAAAATACATTGTACAAGCTAAAATAGGGCAAAAGAGCTAAAATGCAGTGCATGGACTAAAATAACTAGCAGTTCAAATGAGTCCAAGTGCTAAATATGTAATTATCTTTCCTATTACCTTATATGTACAAGAGTTATTTTAACTTTTAAAATCCTACATTTCACTTTTGTTGTTGTTTATTTATGTATGTATATGTAAAATCAGGCATATATATATACACACCTCTGAGTTTAAAAGTTTTCAAATTGCATTTTAATTTACAGGTTACAGGTTGACATTTTACACTAGTAGGCAGAAATGGTTATTTATTTATTGGTAGGTGGTTTGCTTTATAAACTGAAAATGAAGAAATGACTTGAGTTTGGTTTATCATCATCCCTCCAATTCCCTTCCCCAAACTCTTTGAATCTCATGGTACTTTTTAAAAGCTTGCCTCAACATCCCCAGGAATAACTTCACAGTTGTTCCACATAGATGTAGTAGCCATTTTCTTATTCACTAATTTTATGAATGATTGTTGCACATCCTCCAGGGGTTTAGAAATTGCTCATACCATGGAGGAGAGAGTTTCTGGGTGACTTTGATCCGTGTTAGTGCTTATTTGCTCCTGTAACCCCGACCTTTTTGCCATCCCCTGAACACAGGCACACGCCTGCATCAACCCTTTTTATACTTGTTCTCTGGGGTGTTTTTCCTTCAGTTCCACATGGTTTGTTTCTTACCCTCTTTCCATCTTTGCTCAATTGTTAACTTGTCAAATTACTCTGTAAAGGAGCTAAATCCTGACCATTTGGTAGTTTTGAGCAAACGAGGATTAGAATCCAAGTGACATGTTGAAAGAATCACTCTGCCTATTGTCATGAGAATAAACTGCAGGTGAACAAGGGCTGACAGAGTTAGGGGCAATTGCAGTTGTCCAGGCGTAGAGATAAAGGTGGTTCAGATCAGGTGGTTAGAGAGGTGGTGAAAAGTGGTTGGACTCAGGATATATTTTGAAGGGAGAGTCCAAAAGTCAATATTTTGAAGGGAGACTCAGGATATATTTTGAAGGGAGAGTTAACAAGATTTTGCCGCCACTTTGAATGTGAGGTGAGAGGGAAAGATAGAAGTCAAAAATGACTCTAGGTTTTTGGCCTGCGTGACTGAAAGAATGGAATTGCCATTTACTGAAATGAGGAATAAATATCAAGAGAAGAGCACAAAATCAGGAATTTAGTTTTGTTTATAGGAGTTGGATAAATGAAATTTGAATTTAAAAAAAGGTCTGGGATGAAGATACACAAGTTGGGAGTCATCAGCATATACATTATTTAAAGTCATGAGCCTGAATGAGATCATCTGGGCATGTAAATAAAGAAAAGGGTCTTAGAGTTAAGCCCAGGCATACCCCAATCTCCAATGTTCAAGGATTGAGGAGACCAGAGGGAGAGCCAGTGAAGTAGAGAAACTGGGACTCTGGAAACCAAGTAAAGAATGTTCCAGGAAAGGAGTGATCAGCTGTGTCAAATGCTGCTGGTAGAACACTAAGATAAAGACCGAGAAATGATCATTGAATTTGGCAATGGGGAGGTCATTGGTGACCTTGAGGAACTGTTTTGGTGGAGTGGTGGTAGGGAAAGGCTGACTGGTGAGGGCTTAAGAGAAAATAATAAAAGAGGAAATGTAGACCTCAAATATAGATTAACTTTTTACAGGTGATTATTTTTTAAAGTAAAACAGAGAAATGAAATGGGAGCTGAAGAAGGATATGAAGTGAATGGAAACATTTTAAAAATGATGTTTATAAGGCCGAGATGGGCCGATCACGAGGTCAGGAGATAAAGACCATCCTGGCTAACATGGTGAAACCCCGTCTCTACTGAAAATACAAAAAATTAGCCGGGCGTGGTGGCGGGCGCCTGTAGTCCCAGCTACTCGGGAGGCTGAGGCAGGAGAATGGCGTGAACCCAGGAGGTGGAGCTTGCAGTGAGCTGAGATCGCGCCACTGCACTCCAGCCTGGGGGACAGAGTGAGACTCCGTCTCAAAAAAATAAAAAAAATGATGTTTATATGCTGATGAAAGTGATTGAGTAAAGAAGGGAAAAATTAATTATATAGGAGAAAGAGAATGTGGACAGTTGTTGGGAGCATGTTTTTTTTTTTTTTTTAGACGGAGTCTTGCTCTGTCGCCCAGGCTAGAGTGCAGTGGTGTGATCTTGGCACATTGCAACCTCCGCCTCCTCCTGGTTCAAGGGATTCTCATGCCTCAGCCGCCCCAGTAGCTGGGATTACAGGCACATGCCACCATGCCTGGCTAATTTTTGTATTTTTAGTAGAGACGGGGTTTCACCATATTGGCCAGGCTGGTCTCGAACTCCTGACCTTGTGATCCGCCTGCCTTGGCCTTGCAAAGTGCTGGTATTACAGGCATGAGCCAATGTGCCTGGCCTGGAGCATGTATTCTTTTATGAGTGGTCCTTCTTCTGTGGCACTGTACACAGTGCTAAGGGAAGACTTTTCTGTCTTTCCTTCTACACTCCCAGATTCTCACTGGGCTAGGTGTCCCTTTTATAAGCTCCCATTTAACTCTATGCTGTTATTGTTGCCTCTACACTTACCCCTTTCAAAGTATGACCCCTTGTACTTAAAAACAGACCTTTTTAGGTTTAGCTGTGTCTTGATCCAAAGAACCACACTTACCAGAGTATGTTAGTTTTAGAGTCATCTAGGAGCTCAGCATAATACCAAAACCACACCTTTTGGTAATCTTGGACTGTAACAGAAGGCAAGAATTATAATAGGATCTCACAAACCTTCTCCCACCCACCATGATGAGCTATTTGTAGATCCTTAGTGGCTCTTAAGTATTCTCCCAAGTGTTGAGTTGTGAGTAGCCTGCACATAATGGCGTTCAATACTGAGAATAGCTACTCAGCTCTGAGCATCCATCCTTTTTCTCACCATTGGCATTCCTGGTGGCACAGTGGCTTCTATCACTCTCTCTGGCTTGCCTCAGCTTTGATTCTGTCCATTCAATTCTCATTTCCGCCTTGTCTGTCACAGGGTTAGGCTTATGGTAATGAAGAAATGCTCTGTCCTTAGCCAGAGATTGGTGTAAGTTAAAAGATGCTGTGAGCGGTAAAACAAACAACATTTAGGCAGATATTAGTTATTATTATTATCTTCAGAGCTCAATATATTTCTGTCTGTATTTTTAAGGTTTAGATCAGAGTTTTAAAATTAGGGCCATAACCTTTTTTGTTTTTTGAGACGGAGTTTCGCTCTTGTTGCCGAGGCTGGAGTGCAATGGTGCAATATTGGCTCACTGCAAACTCTGCCTCCCAGGTTCAAGTGATTCTCCTGCCTCAGCCTCCCGAGTAGCTGGGACTACAGGCACGTGCCACCACGCCCGGCTAATTTTTGTATTCTTTAGTGGAGATGGGGTTTTACCATGTTGGCCAGGCTGGTCTCGATGTCCTGACCGTGGGTGATCTGCCTGCATTGGCCTCCCAAAGTGCTGGGATTACAGGCATGAGCCACCATGCCCGGGCAAGGGCCAGAACCTTGAAACCACTTGCTAGGGTGTTTGTAGAATGGAGTGGAGGCTGTGGTGAAACTGTCTAAAGTGCTATGCATGTGTGCCTAGGTGCATTCATCCACCCACTCATACAAATATTTGTAAACGCTTGCTATGTTTTAAGATGTGTTTAGGGGAGTTTGTGCTGCTCATTTTTTAAAGAGCGGGAACTCTTTGGTAGTTACAATATTAAAAGGATAGACATCCACTCTGAGTAGTTCTGGATCATTTCTGGAGTTCTTTTTTCAAATATGTCTAAGTAAAACACACCATGTCAAAATACCAGGCTGAGCTGCACACTTGCAGTGAGACAGGATGGAAGACCGAGGATTCCACCAGGTCAGGACGCATCTTTGTTACCTTTGCAGAGGTTCTCTAGCACCTCTAGATCTCTGCATGATCTAGTTTGAAAACTCCTCCTCTAGACTATGACAAAGTTAAAAAAAAAAAAAAGTGATTCCCTAGGCTTTCCTGTCATAAAAATTGAGAGGCAGACGTTTTTCTTTTAAATGAGTTTTCTGTTTTAGCAAATAGAAGCTATTATTTATAGCTTAGTTAAATGTTTTAAATCGCCAAACCTCCGTACCTCTTTCCTATAGAGATTAGTTCATGGAGGGAGTTATGAAAAACATCAGTTAATGATAATGATATAGTGGACTTTCAGGAGATGAGAAACTTATTTTGAATACCCACTGCTAGGTAGAAGTTTGACCTTTGCATGTACATCCAGAAAGGATGGTGGTGTATGCCATCAGCCTTGTGGTTTATAAATATTAGTGATGTGGTCTGAATGCTTTAATAAAAACAAATGAATCAAAGGGGTAGGTCTGTCTTTATTGTTTGGGATTAAAAAAATAATAATCATACATTCATATATTCTTTTCATACTTTTAAGAAACAAAAAGGCAATTCTGCTAAATTATAATTTTATTGTACATTTAAAATGCAGATTTTAAAAACTCAAATTGTGCTTTTTAGTAACTAATAATTTAAGAACTCTTTCTGATCCTCCCCTACTTTTCCAACCTTCTTTTCTTGCCTAACGTTAGGAAAACCAAATTGAAGATGCCTGCATTTTGAACAGGTTGAACTTGTGGCCTTGGCTATAATTGTCACTTCATAATCTATTTTTGATTTTAATCTTATTATTATAACTTTCTTTTTACAGACTGGTGAATTTTCAGCTCGTTTCCTTTTGAAGCTGCCCGTAGATTTCAGCAATATCCCCACATACCTTCTCAAGGTAAAAATATATGATTTTCAGTATGAGAATATAAGTGAGCTTTTTAAGTAATTATTTAACTCAATATTTGTATGACTGGTTTGTCAGCATTTTGTTCAGATGATGAATTCTATTAAAAATATTTCTTACATGAAGTTCCATTGAGCTGTTTTGCTGCCTAAAAGCTAAAATAGTAACTGTGAAAGTCATTTAGAAGTGAGTTTTCCATATTAAAATAAAATTATTATAAGTGAATTAAACTTTGGGAAAAATCGCTTTTATTTAATAATGTTACTGGAATGAAAGACTCTCATATAAATTACCTAATATGCAATATTAGTCACCACTCCATTCTGCAAACACCCTAGCCACTGCCTTCGAGGTTCTGGCCCTTGGCCGGGCGCGGTGGCTCATGCCTGTAATCCCAGCTTTTTGGGAGGCTGAAGTGGGCAGATCACCTGAGGTCAGGAGTTTGAGACCAGCCTGGCCAACATGGTGAAACCCTGTCTCTACTAAAAAAAATAGACAAATATTAGCCGGGCATGGTGGCAGGCTCCTATAATCCCAGCTACTCGGGAGACTGAGGCAGGAGAATCGCTTGAACCTGGGTGGCAGAGGTTGCAGTGACCCAAGATCGAGCCACTGCACTCCAGCCTGGGTGATAGAGTGAGACTCCATCTCAAAAAACAAAAAACAACAGATAAAAAACAAACAAACAAAAAGATTTGGCTGGCCTCCCTCTGTGCTGTATTTGTACTTGTGGTTCTTTAATTGCAATCTAGCATAAGAAAAATTTCTATCTTCCTAATTTGATGTTGTTCAGAGAATTAATGGTATTCATAACTGCCTAGAGAAAAGACAGAATCTTTGTACAAGTTTGCTTGCATATTATACTAATCAATAAATAATATTAGATATTAATTTTTATAATGGTTATAAGTATGACTTAGTAGAATATAAACTATAAACCATAGAAAAGGTTAGGGAATTTTTTTTAATACATTCCATCTTTTTTTTTTTTGGAAACATGGTCTTGCTCTGTCACCCAAGCTGGAGTGTAGTGGTGTGACCATAGCTCACCCCAAGCTCAAGTGATCCTCCCACCTCAGCTTTCTGAGTAACTGGGACTACAGGCGTGCACCACTGTGCCAAGCTAATTTTTTGTTTTTTGTAGAGAAAGGGTCTCAGTGGTCCTCCCACCTCACCCTCCCAAAATGTTGGGATTATAGGTGTGAGCCACTGTTCCTGGTCTATACAGTCCATCTAAAGAGGAAAATTATTTTCTTTTTCGCTAAGTAAAACATAGGATTTTTGTACTTCATTAAACTTTCGTTTTTAGTTTCCAGTTGACTAGTTCTCCATTTTGTACCCAAGAGTTGTAAAGTCCAAATAAGAATGGAAATCATCAATTTCTATCAGTTTCTCTACAATCCTGTTGTGGAAAATATATATATTAGATTTGTGATAACCAAGCATAATTAATTTGATTTTGGCAATTACTATGCTCTATTAGACTAGTAAGCAGTCTTCTAAGAAACCCTTATAGCATATACTCAGGACCTCCTCCATGTATTCCAGTTAAAACTCTCTTTCAGCTCATTTAGAGGCAAGTTCAACAGCATATGAAAGTACCTGATTTATATAATCCACAATTTACAGTTACAGTGCTTTGTTTTAATTTACTGTGCCTTATCAGTTTCAGCAGTCTTCCTGTTTATTTGAAATTGATGTTGCCTCTGCTCATATTCTTGAAGGGTCAAAGGAAAAAAATGTTTGTTGGCTCATAATCTCATATTTATCTCTTCAGCATCAAATTATCATATTTTTATTTTAAGAATTCTAACTTTATATGCTGTTCTTATTTTCCTTGCCAGTCAGTTAAGAGAAAGGTGGAATCTATTTGCCAAAACAGTAATGTTGTTTAACCCCTGCATTACTGTGAAATGATGTCTCTTCTATAGATAAAATATCTACATTGCAACACTAATGTCCTTCTGGATCTTTAAAGTTCATGCAAAAAGAGTAAAACAACAATGACCAAAAAGGAGAAACTCTTGTGTAACACAAAGCAACAGCCAAAAAAACAGAAACAGAAACCTACCAGCACACCAGAAGCAATCCAGAATACTTGTTGAGGGTTTTAATATCTACATTCCTAAAGTTGTTGTAACATGTGGTTATGCTCTTCAAAGGAAGTTTGCCTTAGGAGCTGCTTTACATATTATTTGCATTTGGATGCTCCTCATCTAATTACTAGGCCTATAATTGATAGTCTAACTACAAAAATAAACTTCCTGAATTCCTAGGGTTAGGATACTCTTCACCAGCATCAATATAGTTTTACCTTATCATTTCAAACAAATAAAAGGGAAGGTAGAACTTGAAAATATTGAGTAGTATGGAGTTAGACTGCATACCCTATTGATTTGCTACAATGACATTTCATTACACTGTGATGAGGCCATCATTCACTCATAAGTTCATATTACCAGGTGTGCCTGTTTTGCCCACTAATAGAATTATTTTATGTTAAAATGAAAAAGCCATTCAATATTCAGTGATATGATTTCCCTTAATATTGTATTGTAAACATATGTGGTTCTTACAGGGGATAGAGTGAATTTATTCTGAAGATGAAGTCTGATTTCAGAGTCTGAATTTCACTTTTGGTTGAGGTTAATCAAAGGGTCAGATGAATCACTAACATAAACACGAAAAATATTTCTGTATTTATTAGGATTCTCATTTTGCAGGTGGTTGAAATCCAGCATGAGCTCATGTAGACCAGATGAGAAATTTCATACAAATCCTCTTCTTCTGTGGTCTGTATAGCAGGAAACAGTCCATACTTAGTACTCTACAGATCAGGCGTAGACCAACTGTCTTATGTCTGTTCCACTGGGCTCAGTTGTGTACCCCTGAACTTCTCAACTGGTGTGTTTATGGGGAGAAATCGTGGTCCCCAGCATAAAGAGGAGATTACAGAAATGATCAAAGTGCAAGTATTCTCTACAGTTACTGAACCAAAGAAAGATGGTTTTATAATTACATACTTTCTCTTAACGAACAGCTAGTCATTAGATGCTGCTGCTCTTAATTTTCTTAGAGTGTGGTGAAAAGTGCTGTATGTGTATTCCTGTCTTTATTTTTGTCCTGAGAATTAGTGAACTTAACAATATGATGCTAAGAAGGCTGTGTTTTTGTTTTTGCTTCTGTTTTCTGTAAAACCATACTCCATAGAAAAGTAGCTAAAGAAAAGGTTTGAATTGTCTACTAACATTTTTATTCTCTGAACAAGAAGCTTAGAAACTAAGAATACAGTATTTTGGGGGATAGGAGAGGCTTACTTGTAAATATGATGTGTGTTTGAATTGGTCACTTAAAATAGTAAGCCAGTTTTATACAGAATACAGTGAAGTTAAATCCTAGAGCTAGGAATCCCTTCAGTAGCATCATACAAAAATATGGAGGCAAATTGTTTTATCCCACTGAACTGGAGGGTTAAATAGCAACTATTTCCTGCTGATACTGGATATGGCAAATATAACCGTGCAAAGAAAATCAACATTAACTTTTTTTTGTTGGGTAAGAAAAGACCATATTGTTTATGTAGGCTAAATTGTTGGAGTATCTCTAAACTAGAAATCAGTGAGCCCTAGCCCAGGTTAGAAGTAAGGCTATAACCAATTGACTATGACTGAAGTACTTGGACTTTTATTGGCATTATTTAATATCACACACTGAGCCCATTCATCCTGATGGATTGCATGTAGAAATTTAGTTCTACTGTGGAATCTGAATCATGACACTACAGCGAAATTAATTGAGTGTGAAAAAGCTAAAATAGGTTGTTTATACAAGAGATGAAGTTCTCATCCTTCTTCTGAAGTCACTGTGGCTGTACTGATCAGTCAGGGCACAATCAGTGCAGAGCCCAGGTCACTCTGCCAAACAGAGGCAGAAAGCAGGAATTCAGTTCAGGGTGTCTAGACTTGTTCAGGAGCCTAGGATAGGCAGAGAGTTGTGAATATGTAACTATGCAATGGTCTAAGCAGATCACTAACATGGAAGAGAGCATCTAGGTGTGCTGAGATTATCTGATGCAGGAGCAGCCTCCTCAGCCTGACATTGGCCAGCCGGCTACCTACTTATAGTCAGTCTGCTTTCTAACCAAACCTAGTAGCAAATGCAGATATTCACAGAGCCAGGCAAGTACTGAAAAGGAGTGAATCTGACTTGATACAATACAATAGGAAATGGTAGGGACTGGAGTGAACTAGCATGTATGTGCTTCATCTAAAGGCAGCAGCTGCTATACAGCTACAGAGTTGTTTTCCATTTGATAATTTGGGACTGGTGTTGCCAGATATCCAGATGTTATTAAAAAGGAGCCCAGAATCTCAGGGCTTCTTGTTGATGTTGTTGTTAATATGAAAAACTACTATCTTTTAAGTAATAGCAATGATAAATATTGTTTACAAACACTGTGCAAGAACACTTCTATGTCGTAGCCATGGCCTGTGGGTTAATTTGTGACCCTTGCTCTAAAACCTAACTGTCTTGTACCAGGTGGGTGGCAGAAGGCTTTTCTTCACTTTCCTTGATTTATACTATACAGTGTGGTATTCAGGGAGATCTTACTATGACCCAGTGGGTAACAGGAGAACCTTGAACTGCAGTGCCACTCAATATCCTGAGCCGCTTATCACAACTGCAACAGAGTGGCCAGAATGAGTTTGGCTTGGTTTTTGAGTGCGGTACTGTGCAGAACACCTAAGTACTGATTTTGCCATAAAATGATACTGGGATTAGACAAACAACAAAAGAAATTCAAGCATAATCATTGTCCTCAGAGACCTTATAATATAATTGATAAGTTAACATTTACTGATAAATAGTTAAGTGTTAACTTGTACGCTACCTGCCCAGTAAGCTTTTAAAAAGAATAAAATTGTTATGGATTGGAATGATTAGGTCATAAAATCTTTATGACCAAGTTTGGGCATTAGCTAGACCTCTAAGTGGCATAGCTTTTCAAGGCTGGAGGGGAGGAGGAACAGATCAGGGATGGATGATCATGCAGTCAGTGGTGGGACTGTGTGGACATACTTGATTTGGGAAGTAGGTAGTAATCTAGGTTGCAAGAGAAATTTCCTGCAAGAGACTACTGAGAGATAAAACCAGGAAAAAAAGTTGGAAAGATACTGAATGCTGGGAGATTGATTTTAGACTTCATTTAGCAGGTAGTCTTAATCCCCTTATAACTGGGTTATCATGGTAAGAGCTATTTCCTTGGCCCCATTCTCTTCAGTTCCCAATCTTCCTGCAGTGTTACTGTTAGTCTCCTGTAACGTTTCTCAAAATGAGTAGTACTTACTTGTTGGATGCTGCTTCTAGAGCCCATTCTCCCATGCAGTGCTGTTTTACACAGCTTCCCAAAATGTGCGTTTAATCTCAGAAAGGCAACTATCCGCAGTGTCCTGCCAGTGCTGTGAGAATTCCCAGTGCTGTCATTTTGCTCATGCTCTTCTTTCTGGCTCTGAAATTCCTACTCTTTCATCTTTTTCTGGATAATTCACTTAATTGACATAAAAATAAGGAGAAGTCCAAAGAAATTCAATTACTTGCCCAAGACTGTGTTTATTTGGAGGTATTGACAGAATATCTTATTTTGATTATTGGCAGCTAGAATGAGAGAGGTGCTAAAAGGTCAAGGTGGAAAAGAAGCAGGATAATGAAACCAAAGTGAACCTTTTGAAGGAGGAAATTTTGCACACAACTGTGGAGAAACCTGAATTTGGAGAATCCAATGGAAGAGAATTGTCGTATATGTAGAAGGACAACAGGAGCTCAGAGTCATAAAGGTCAAGGTGTGTTTTTTTTTTTTGAGACAGAGTTTTGCTCTTGTCGCCCAGGCTGGAGTGTAGTGGCTCCATCTCGGCTCACTGCAACCTCCACCTCCCAGGTTCAAGCAATTCCTTTGCCTCAGCCTTCCGACTAGCTGGGATTACAGGCTCCTGCCACCAGGCCTGGCTAATTTTTTGTGTTTTTAATAGAGAGGGGATTTTGCCACATTGAGCAGGCTGGTCTTGAACTTCTGACCTCAGGTGATCCACCCACCTTGGCCTCCCAAGGTTCTGGGATTACAGGCATGAGCCACCATGCCTGGCCAAGTCAGGGTTTTAAAATGTTCATGATGAAGGAAATACTCAAATGCCATTGAAAGAATTAGAACCAAGAAAAAAAGCATTTGAATTTGTGAGGATGATAGGGATGGTGAGAGTAGAGAGAACACTTTAAGTAGGATGACCAGAATAGAGGCCAGATTGTTGGTGTTCATGAGGATATGAATGATTAGAAAATGTACTCAGTGGGTATCTGACAAAATGAATTTTGGAAATGGGATGGAAACTTGAAGAACTGAAATGATCAAGTGAAACTATTAAGAAGAAACAACTGAAATGATAGCATACTAGCCAAAATAATCATAGAGAAGGTTTTTTTTTTGCTTTTTTTTTTTTTTCCAATAGACAGAGTCTTGCTCTGTCACCCAGGCTGGAGCGTAGTGGCACGATCTTGGCTCACTGCCACCTCCGCCTCTGGGATTCAGGCAATTCTCATACCTCAGCTTCCCCAGTAGCTGGGATTACAGGCATGTGCCACCATGCCTGGCTAATTTTTGTATTTTTAGTAGAGATGGGGTTTCGTCATGTTGGCCAGGCTGGTCTCGAACTCCTGACCTCAAATGATCTGCCTGCCTGGGTCTCCCAAAGTGCTGAGATTATAGGTGTGAGCCACCACACCCGGCCGTAATCATAGAGAAGGTTTCTTAAGAAGTTGTTTTAATTCGTGATATGCTTAAATATGATCATTATATCAATGTTCTCTCCTGGAAAAGTTTAAAGGAAATTTTGCCTGGAAAAGCCCATTTCAAGTGGTGCTGTCATTCTTTTATATTGTTAGGAGAAATAGGTAATGGCATGAGTGTTAAAAAACAAAGTGTGTGTATGACAGTCACATTTTGTGACTTGCCATTAAAGATTGAATAAGTTGGCAGAGTTTTGAAATTTCTCATTCTTCTCATCTGCCCTTAGGAACAGGGGAGGATTTTGCATTCCCTGCACCCAGAAGAACATTAGACTGATTAACGTTACTGGAATTTTTTTGTGGATGAATTCTTGCATTGTCTTTTACTATTTGGAAATGCTTGAAGCCCATTTAGCATTACATGTTTGCTAGAAAGGAAACTGGTAATTTCCCCCCAGATATTCACTTTATTTAAAATCCAGCAAGCTTGTTAGGGTGGTATGTATTGATTATAATTCTTTTTCAGCACATGTAAGATAGAAACATTGAAAAGCCTTTGATTCTGATAAGAATATATAAATTCAAAGGCTGACCTTACAAGTTTTTCTCTAAACCACAGATTAAATAACTCCTCTGAATTTGAGACTTTTAAGTTCAGGGAATTTTTTTGAAATCAGTAAAGTCACACTTAATAGTCAGCTTTTAGAGAGAAAGACTGCTTTAACACACTCTTGTAAAATCTAGCTTTAAAGCAAAATAGTCGTCTGGTACTTGAAGGACCATAAAGAATTCACACAGAACCGTCATCTTCTTATCTTAAAGGAAATAATTTCTGTCTAATCAAATAGGAGTGGGCATACTTTTCTAAAAGTAGGAAGGAGTACTGGGAAGATAGTGCCATAAAAGTAGGGTGCTGTTTACTCCTGTAATAAGACGATTTATCCTTGCTAAATTTGAGCCAAAATTTGCATTTGAGACTTAATCACAAAGAAAGCAGTGAGATGGTCTGAACACTTACACTGCAGGGAATCTGTCTCTTTCTTTATTAAGCAGTGGACCCATGGCTGCGCTCAGTACCTCGTCCTTGTTCCACCTCCCTTCTCTAGAGAGCAGACAGGACTTAGGGAAAAATACACTCTAGTTCAGGGTCCAGCAGGCTCCTCTAAAGGGCAAGATAGTAAAATTTTAGACTTGTGTGCCATATGGTCTCTGTCACAACTACTCAACTCTGCTTTCATAGCATGAAAGCAGCTACAGACAATATGTAAATGAATGAGTGTGGCTGAGTTCCAATAAAACTTTATTTTCATGTTTGAGATGATGGATATGCTAATTACCCTGATCTGATCACTATACATTATGTGTATAGAAACATCACTATGTTTTTCATGAATATGTACAGTTATTATTTGTCAATTAAAAAATATGAATTTCTAAAAACAAAAACAAAACAACGTTTATTTTTAAAGTAAAAGATAAACCGTTTTTTTAAATCCAGCCCAGGCATTGGGCTGGATTTGGCCCATAGGCAGTAGTTTGTGGATCCCTTTTCTAGATGATGGAGGGGAGTGTTTCTTCACAAAGACACCTGGTGCATCATAAATAGATACGTAAAGGGATTTGGCTCAGTGAGTGTCCGTGGTTTTTATACCATGGTCTCTGTTTATGTTTGATTAGTACCTTCAACTCTGTTGAAGTCTCCCTTCTTCTCTTTCTCCCCCTACCCTTTTTTTAACCTTCCTTCTTTTATTCCATCTTCTCTCTTATTTTAAATCATCTGTTAGTAACATAAAATTTACTGAATTATCTTCCAAGTCTTAGTTTCCCAAACTGTTAAAATGACGTTAGCTATTATTATGATCTGAAATTTTATACCCACCTTCCCCCAAATTTATATGTTGAAATCCTAATCCCCAAGGTGATGGTATTAGGAGTTAGGACCTTTGGAGGTGATTCAGTTATGAGGGTGGAGCCCTGGTGAATGGGATTAATACCCTTATGAAAGAAGCCCTAGAGGGCTAACAGGCCTGAGGACACAGTGAGAAGGCACCATCTGTGAACTAGGAAACAGGCCCTCACCAGACACCACAGTTGCTGCTACCTTGATCATGGACATTCTAGCTTCCAGTACTGTAAGAAACAACTCTCTGTTTTTTACACAGTTTATAGTATTTTGTTAGCTACGCAGTTTATAGTGTTTTGTTATGGGAATTGGAACTGACTAAGATAGCTATGCTTACCACACAGGATTGTTGGGACTATTAATGAGATAATAAATATGATGGTACTTAATACACTTCTGAGCTTGGTGCAGGTGCAGAATAGAAATGGTTTTGATTTCATTAAGTCATTTAATTTGTATTTCAAAGTATTGAATTTACTGTGGAACTAAGCACTATTCACAATAGCAAAAACATGGAATCAACTTAAATGCCCATCAGTGGTAGACTGGATGAAAAAAATGTGGTACATATGCACAAGTGAATACTGTACAGCCATTAAAACAATGAGATCATGTCTTTTGCAACAACAGCGATGGAGCTGGAGGTCATTATCCTAAGGAAACTAACACAGGAACAGAATACCAAATACTGCATGTTCTTACTCATAAGTGGGAGCTGAACTTTGAGTATATGTGGATACAAAAAAGGGAGAAATAGCCACCAAGGCCTACCCTAGGGTGGAGGGTGAGAGGAGGGTGAGGATCAAAAAACTACCTGTCAAGTACTATGGTTATTACCTGGGTAACAAAATAATCTGTATACCAAACCCTGTGGCATGCAATACACCTGTATAACAAACCTGCACATGTACCCCTGAACCTAAAATAAAAGTTAAAAAAAAGAAAAAATTTCATTGAAATTATGACAGAGTTATGTTTACTACTTAATTTTTCCTCTCTTCTGATTTCCCTTATGTAGAATTCAAAACTTAAATTTTTACTTGCCTTAAGTTTCCAAATATGATTTATGGTAATTCTGACAATGGTATATATATTTTCTTAGTAAAAATGAAGAAGTCACAGGTAGTTTCTTGGAAAAAAGAAGTTACAGGTAGTTTCTTGGAATGTAGATTGGGGTAACCCATTATGGAAAACACAATGGAGGTTTCTAAAGAAATTAAAAATAGAACTACCAGTAATGCCTCTTCTGGGCATATAACCAAAGGAAATGAAATCACCACCTCATAAAGATCTCTGCACAGCCATGTTCATTGCAGCTTTAGTCACAAGAGCCAACATATGGAAACAACCTAATTGTTCAACAGTGGTTGAATGGATAAGGAAACTGTGGTACATATGCATTTTGAAATATTATTCAGTCCTAAAAAAGAATGAGATCTTGCCATTTGCCACAACATGGGTGAGCCTGGAGGATATGATGCTAAGTGGAATAAGCCAGACACAGAAAGAAAAGTATTGCATGATCTCGCTTGTATGTAGAATCTTAAAAAAAATTTCAAATATATGTGGAGAACAATACAGAGGTTACCATGGGTTGGGGGTGGTGGTGAGTGGTGAATGGGGGGATGTAGGATACATCTTCTGTGTACATCAGAGGGTACGAAGAGCACCTGTGTAGGATGAACAAGTCTAGCACTCTAATGTGCAACAGGACTACAGGTTATAGAATTGTACCATATATGGAATTCATGCTAAATGAGTAGATTTCAGCTGCTCTGGCCATAAAAACAACCACCAAAAAATGGGTAACTATGTGAGATGATGGATGTATTAATTTCCTTCACTGTAGTAACCTTTTTATTGTCTGTATATATCCCATAACATCAGATTGTATGCCTTAAATATACACAATAAAATTTATTTTTTAAAAAAGAGAGCCTTCCTCTTTTGGCTTTCTTTTGTTGTTTTACAGTTTATTTAAAATTTTTTTTTATGATGTGCTTCTTTCTTTTTTTCAAAATTTCTATTTTAGAATGTAGGTGTATCTCAAATGATTATCAGTTGACCTGCTTTGCTACCCTGTCCCCATTTATAGTGATTGTCATTTAAGTACAGTCTATTCTTCTACAGGACATGCTTTAGTAACATGAATTAGTTCGTTCACAATTGGCAAATAGTAGAAGCCTGTCAGTATAATACAAAAGCAGCTATGGCTTACAGTTGACTTTTTCTCTAGCACATTAATTATTTTGACCACTAAATACAGCAACTAAATGCAAAGTACACTAATACATATGAACATAGCAAGCTTTGGAGGCATACTGTATTATTTATTGTGTCACTTATTATTGGGAATATAGCATCTTAAATACATTAATATTTTACTGAAATTACTTTGGTTTTTGTCAGTGCTGTGCTTACAAAGTTGTGCAGGCCTTAAGTGGTCTATATTTTCCTCATAAGTCTCTTATTTTTAGTATGTAATTTACTAGAATGCAATTTTTTAAGGAATGCGTATATCATATTATAGCAGCAACACTTGTATTTTAAAACTTATAGGCTAGGCATTCTTAGTCCTTTGCACTTTCCAAATATGTCGCAGGTTTTTAAGTCCTTCTCCATCTTCATACTTCTCTTTAGGGAGTGTTCCAGATTGCCAGCATCTCTCTTAAACTGTGGTGCCCAAAAATAAGCACAAAACTCCAGGGAGGGTTGATCAGGTCAGTGTTTATTAAGACTCTAAGCATCAACATTAATTCGTACTTCTTGAGTTTGTAGAAGACCATACTTCCTTGTCTTACTAATCCAGCTTTAAGCAGTTGGTTTTCCTAAGCCAATGTGTAGACTTAATCCCTTCATATCAGCTTTTTGGATTTGCCCTATTTTCTTCAGTCCGTTTATGAGGGAAGCCTTGCAACCTATGATCCAGAAAGGGAAGTGGGGATTGGAACCATATAGCACAGTGAGACTAACAGGAATTATGGGATGTGATCACTACAGGTGACCATTTTTTTTTTTTAATCTGGAACTACTTTCCTCTATGGTAGAGTTTTCTTCACCCACATCTTAAAGGTGCCACCTGGCACCTGACAGGTTGTGCCGGTTTGTTTCTGTCATCTGTTCTCATTACTCCATTTTCATCAATCAGCAGACCTACAACTCAAATAAAGGTAAAAGCTGATTAATGGTGTAAGGTGACTACACAGATAATAGTGTAATGCATGTTAGGATAATACTTAATTATTAAGAAAAGTACAAAATTTAGTAGGTTGGTGAGAGAGGATTACACCTGGCTGGGAAAAAAACCTTTATAAAGGAGGTGACATTTGGAACGGCCTTGAAAGACTTGGTTTTGATAAAGAGAAGCTAGACAGGCCAGGCACGGTGGCTCACGCCTGTAATTCCAGCACTTTGGGAGGCCGAGGCGGGAGGATCACAAGGTCAAGAGATCGAGACCATCCTGGCTAACACAGTGAAACCCCGTCTCTACTGAAAATGCAAAAAAATTAACCGGGCATGGTGGCGGGCACCTGGAGTCCCAGCTACTTGGGAGGCTGAGGCAGGAGAATGGCGTGAACCTGGGAGGCGGAGCTTGCAGTAAGCCAAGATCACGCTACTGCATTCCAGCCTGGGTGACAGAGTGAGACTGTCTCAAAAAAAAAAAAGAAGCTAGACAGAAAGAACAAGCATTTTTTTAGGTGGCAACAGTAGCACAGTTGGAAAACAGTTGAACAGTCCAGTTTGGCTAAAACGTAGAACTTGTGTACAAAGTAGTGGGAGATAAGAAAGGAAGGGCATTTTAAAGACATAGTGTTACAGCCTTAAATACTTAACTCAAATTTTAATCATTATTTTTGAGCAGGGTAGTATTACAATTGGGATTGTATTTAGGAATAGAAATCAGCCAGAAACATAATATAAAATGATGGAGAGGAGGAAGGAGGAAATGAGGCTGGACCCTGGATGCAGACCTGTTATCATAGTCAGGGCTCAAGGTGATAGAAAACTTAATATCAAGGCTTCAGGTGATGCATGTTTTAGATTTGCTGAAGTGTATATAAAATATATATATATATGTATATATATAAACATTGTATAATTTTATATACCAGCTGGGGTGCATGGTCACTTAACTCAGTGATTAACCTGGGAAAGTAGGGGAGAGGAAAGGTGCCAGAACCTTCTAGCCGGTGCTACCCAAAGTGCATCAGTTTTGGTTCTTGATGAAACAAACACAGCATTGAGAGCGTTTAGAAACATTAAAAGCAGCTGACAGAATAATCATATATCTGTTGAATCTAATGATAGAAATGTTGGGTTTGTATTTTGTATGTGTTTTAAAAGATTTCTTTTTCTAGTAATTCACTTTGAATGTATTTTACAAATCCATCAGTTGGTGATGGATTAGAGAGAAACAAACAACAACGGCTCCTTCACTGTGGATGGTTTGAGAAGCATTATTCGAGCCCGCCCTGTGCCTTCTGTGGCTGCTGGTTACCGTTGCCTCCCTTATCCTGAGATACAGCAGTCTGAGGTGTCTCTGAGGTTTTTTGGTTTTATTCTTTTTGCTTAGCTGAGTTTTACAATCATTGTCACCCAGCACGCCCCTCCTTTTTATTTTTATTTATAAATACATTTCCAGAATTTGGCATAGGAGAAGCCCTTGACTTGATTGACATTTAATACAGAACTAGAAGAGAGGGATTTTTTATTTTATAAAATATTTTGAAACATATTTTAACAGTACACACATACCTTGATCTAGTTTAATGACAAAATAATGTCACAAAGGGATCTACCCTCTTTCCTTCATTTTTCTGAAGATCCATTTTCTTCCTTGTATCTGTTGCAGATTTGTTTTCATATTATGATCATATTATATAGTTGGGATGTGTGAATCCCAGAAATAAAGTTGGTGTTTCTCCTTGTTCCAGGATTGCTCATAAGCAGTTTGACTCTCTTGAAGCAGGATGGGATATGATTTAGATTTGTCAACTTTGTGTTAACCCTAGAAAGTCATGTGAGTACTTCATGAAAATACTCTTTAGCAGAAGATCCTGGAATACTGATAGTGTTGGCATTCTTAGTCTCTTTTCCATAGACCAGCAACTCACAAGTATGGTCCAAGGACTGCTGGTATTTCCAGGACTCTTTCAGAGAGTACATGAGGTAAAAACTATTTTCAAAATAAAATTAAGAATTTCCATACCTCATGAGTGAATAGTGGAGTATTCCAGAGGCTACATGGTGTCATCACTCTGATAGCCAAGGCCATATTTGCTTGTGTGTTCTTGCATTTTAGAAATTTTCTCGGATTTTACCAAAGTTTATTCAAGAAGAAGTAGATAATTTGGATAGCCTTGTGTCTATTATAGTTAAATATGTTCCCACCATGAAAACTTTAGGCACAGATGACCTCCCTGGTAAATTCCACCAATCATTTAAGGAAGAAATAGTATAGAAAATCTTTGGGAAAATTGAAAAAGGGGAAATGATTTCTAACTTGTTCTGTGAGGACAGCACTACTTGATGACAAAAATCAGGCAAAGATATTACAAGAAAAGAAAACTCCAGATGCATCTGTCTCATAAACACAGGTGCAATATTTGAAATAAAATTTTAACAAACTCAAAAGAATGATACATAAAAAGGATGATACATTATGAATAAGTGGAGTTTATCCCAGGGATGTAAGGTAGGCTGAATATTCAAAAATCAACAATATAACTAATCATATTAACAAACTAAGAAAGAAAAATCATGTGATTATCTCAATAGACATAGAAAAAACATTTGACAAAATTGAGCATATATTCCTGATTAAAAAACTCTTAGGAATCTAGGAATGGAAAGGAACTTCCTCAACCTGATAGAAGTACATCTATGAAAATCCTATAGCTAGTATCATACTTGATGTTGTAAAAGACCAAATACTTTCTCTCTAAGATTAAGAAGGCAAAGATGTTACTCTCACCATTCTATTCAGTACTGGGGGGGCCTGGCCAGAGCAATAAAGCAAGAAAAAGGAATAACATTTAGAGTAGAAAGGAAGAAGTAAAACTATCTTTTCACAGATGATATTGTTGACTATGTCAAAAAGCCTAAGGAAATTACAAAAAAGCTTCTAGAACTAATAAGTGAATTTTGTAATGTTGCAGGATACAAGGTCAATATATAAAATCAATTATATTTCTATAGGCTAACAAGTAATTAAAATTTGATATTTTAAAGATAACATTTATAATAACATCAAAATTATGGAATATTTAGAGATAAATCTAAGAAAAGATATGAAAGACTTTTATCCTGAAAACTACAAAACATTGCTGAGAGAAACTAATGAAGATCTAAACAAATGGATATGTCATGTTCATATGCTGGAAGACTTAATCTCGTAAGATATCAGTTCTTCCTAAATTGGCATATAGATCTGGCACAATTCTAGCAAGTTGAAATCTCAGCAGAAATTGTAAAAATTGACAATCTGATTCTAAAATTTATTTTGAAATACCAAGGACCTAGAATAGCCTAAACAATTTTGAAAAAGAAGAACAAAATTGGAGGACTCACATTCCCTGATTTCAAAGACTTATTATAAAGCTCCAGTAATCAAGACAGTGTGATGATGGTCTAGAAAAAAATATACCAGTATAGATCATTGGAACAGAATAGAATATTCAGAAATAGATCCACACATACGTGGACAATTGATTTTTGACCCAGGTGCAAAAGGCAATTCAGAGAAGAACAGATAATCTTTTCAACACATGATGCTAGAACAATTGGATATCTATATTTAAAAAAAAAAGAGAAAAGGCCTGGTGCGGTGGCTCATGCCTGTAATCCCAGCACTTTGAGAGGCCGAGGCGGGCAGATCACGAGGTCAGGAGATAGCGACCATCCTGGCTAATACGGTGAAACCTTGTCTCTACTAAAAATACAAAAAATTAGCTGGGCGTGGTGGCGGGCGCCTGTAGTCCCAGCTACTCGGGAGGCTGAGGCAGGAGAATGACGTGAACCTGGGAGGCGGAGCTTGCACTGAGCTGAGATTGTGCCACTGCACTCCAGCCTGAGCAACAGAGTGAGACTCTGTCTCAAAAAAAAAAAAAAAAAAAGAGAAAAGAAAAGAAACTTCAATCCATGCCTTGAAAAGACATATATATATATTTGTTGACATATATATATATATTTCCATGTAAAGTTTAACTCAAAATGGATTATAGACCTAAAAGTAAAACCTGAAACTATACAACTTCTAGAAGAAAACGTGATAAAATTTCAATAACTTTTTTTTTTTAAAAACCTGTGTTCTAATTTCAGATAGGCTAAATGTCAACAGAGATAGCACACATAAATAGGAGCACTTCATGATTCTCATTACTTGTAAAAGGGAGTCCCAAACACTTTGAGAACTGCTGCTGTAGACTTTATGGCCTGTTGTATTTGGTAGTAGATTCAAAACAGCATATAAACATTTCCAGGATTGTTGGCCAGGTGCGGTGGCTCACGCCTGTAATCTCAGCACTTTGGGAGTCCAAGTCAGGGGATCACCTGAGGTCAGGAGTTCGAGACCAGCCTGGCCAACGTGGCAAAACCCTTTCTCTACTAAAAATACAAAAATTAGCTGGGCATGCTGGCAGGTGCCTGTAATCCCAGCTACTTGGCAGGCTGAGGCAGGAGAATTGCTTGAATCCAGGAGATGGAGGTTGCAGTGAGCTGAGATTGTGCCACTGCATGCCAGCCTGGGTGACAGAGCAGGAGTCCGTCTCAAAAAAAAAAAAAAAACAAAAAACCTGGCCGGGCATGGTGGCACACACCTGTAATACCAGCACTTTGTGGGCTGAGTCAGGCGGATCATGAGGTCAGGAGATAGAGACCATCCTGGGCAACATGGTGAAACCCGGTCTCTACTAAAATACAAAAAATTAGCCTGGTGTGGTGGTGCGTGCCTGTAGTCCCAGCTACTTGGGAGGCTGAGGCAGGGGAATCACTTGAACCCGGGAGGTGGAGGTTGCAGTGAGCCAAGATTGCGTCACTGCACTCCAGCCTGGTAACAGAGCAAGACTCCATCTCAAAAAAAAAAAACCAAAAAAAAAAAAAACATATTTCCAGGATTGTTACCTGCTTCATAAAACTTCTTCTGCATTATCAGCAATGATACTTGTGTTAAAAAGGCATTATCAGCTCACATCAATGTAGAGTAAAGCTGAGATCTTCACCAATTGCTCTTTGAAATCAATCCTTCTTATAAGCTTCCAGCATCTAGGGCTTAGTATCATTGGTTCAGGTACATTTGATGAACACTCAGGTGTAGAAATCTCAAGTGTTTATCCCCAGGGTTTCTAATGTGTGCCATTCTGTGTTATGACTTACAGCCACTTAATGTCACCACTAGCATTTAGAGACAGACATTGGTCAGAATAAAAGACATCTCACAGCCACCCTGTAAGGTGGCACAGTGGATGTATGTTGTTTTGTCTGCCTAGCACGTCTTTTCCCCTTCTTCTTGTAGTAGTATCCCATGCCCATGTTCTTTTCCCTCCTTCATCCATGTGATTCTGCTAGGACTGTCTAGTGCAGTTCCCCTTCTGCCTGGCAGGGGTTAGTTTAAGAACTGGGTATGTGATCTAAGCTTGCCCAGTCAGAGTCCTTCCTAGGACATTTACAAACTTAAGTAGGAAGGAAAAATCCTTTTCTTTTCTGAGATATTTGTAAGCTTGAATTGAGTCCAGAACTATAAGAAGCTGTGTTTCTCATCACGTGGGAAAAGACTCTAGACAGCACTGTCCAGTACCAATATAATGCAAGCCGCATATGCAACTTAACATTTTCTAGTAACCACATTGAAAGAACTAAAATGAAGTAGGTGAAATAATGTTTTAATAATGTTTTACTTAACGCATTATACTCAAAATATCATTTCAACATATAATCAAAATAAAAATTGTTAATGACTCATTGTATGATTACATATTTTGTGCCAAGTCTTTAAAATCCAGTGTATTTACCCTTTACCACCTCTCAGTTCAGACTAGTCACATTCTAGGTACTCAGTAACCACATTTGGCTAGTAACTGCCATTTTGGACAGTGCAGCTCTACACAGTGAGAATGAAAGGAAGCCAACATGGAAAATGATGAGTGATAAAGATTTAGAGAGAAAGAGTACTGTCAGTGCTGAGATTTTTGGTTTTGGTCCTTGAGGTTTGAGAAACTATTTTGGCTCCAGCTCCTATAACCAGCTCTTCTTTGGAATCTTTGAGCCCCTCCCATAGTTTTCCAATAAGTAACTTTTTTTTATGTGAGTATGATTTGGGTTCCTGTCACTTATGATCAAAAAAATCTTGACTCATCCAGTAAGCCAGTAAGGCATTATTATCTTCATTTTTTTAAGATGAGGAAACCTAAGCTCAGAGAAGTTGAATGGGTTACCCAGGGTTATCCTAACTGTATGAACTGTATGTGGCAGGGCCTGGATTTCAATTCAGGTCTGTCTCACTCAAAAGCCCACGCTCTTTTTACCCCAAGAGACTACCATGGAGGCTTCCTGTAGAGCAAGCCGTTTTCACTGGATGAAGGGTTGGGATTTCAATGCTTCACATATTCTTTGTAGTCTCTGATACAGTGGAACTGTGAAAATGCTTATTTTTTGACAGGAACTTTTTAGTGGAGACCCATAGTAGTCCTGTCAACAAATCTCACCTCCCTTTCTTTCTAAAAAAGTGACATTAGCAAGTTACTTGGCACTGAATGGAACTTAGTTTGCTACTACGTATCTTGTGGGCATCTGCAGGCTATCTTGTAAAATGGTGGAGTAATCTAATCTTGTTTCATTTGAAGTATATTGGCCTGTCCAGGAAACTTTATTAGCACCTCTAAACAATTACGTCATTAAAGGGCAAGACTTAGAAGCCTTGTTAAGGCTGTGTAAGATCTGTTTTCCAACTTAAATGAAGTTAAGCAAATTCCCATAATAATTTTAGAATGATTCAGTGTTTTCTAGTTATCGTAAATGATATTGCAAAAAGCTGGAAATCAACATGAAGCTATTCTTTTTCATTTTTCAGAATCAGCCTTTTGAATGATTCCTATACTCTAATGTTCAATTGATACTTGATTCATTTTAGAAAATTGTCATAGACCCATATACTTGAGAATTGGCATGTGTGAGGCTGAAGTTTTATGCTAGTGCACCCAGGCAATCCATAATTGCAGTAAAGAAACATATACTTGTCTGGGTGCGGTGGCTCACGCCTGTAATCCCAGCATTTTGGGAGGCGGAGGTGGGCGGATCACCTGAGGTCAGGAGTTCAAGATCAGCCTGGCCAACATGGTGAAACCTCTTCTCTACTAAAGAATACAAAAATTAGCCAGATGTGGTGGCGGGTGCCTGTAATCCCAGCTACTCGGGAGGCCGAGGCAGGAGAAATGCTTGAACCTGGGAGGCGGAGGTTGCAGTGAGCCGAGATTGTGCCACTGCACTCCAGCCTGGGCGACAGAGTGAGACTCTATCTCAAAAAAAAAAAAAAAAGAACCATTTACTTGAGGGCACACAGCTGAAAGTTCAACTTCATTTCTTTAGCACACCATCAGAAGTTTCTTTATTAGACAATCATAACAAATCAAGGCGGTTTAACTTTAGTCAACACTGTAATATAAAGCTATCCCAAATTAAAATCTACAAAGCAAGAATCCTGACTTGTTCATAAGTGTGAGGTCTAAACCTGTTACCACTATCACCTCTTCTCACTTGAAAATTCCACTGGTGCCTCTTTAATGCCACGTATTAAACATAAAAAAAGATACTAAGTTTACATTGAGAGTCTTCCTATTCCTGATCCGGTCAGACTGCTCTGGCTTCTCACTCACAGGTACTATGGCTAGCAGCAAATTATAATGCCGTAAAGAACTGTGCTCACGAGGTTCTGGCCGTGACAGGAGCCACTCCTTGGGTTGTGGTTCTCCTTAATATCGCCTCTGTTATTCTAAGCCTGAATAGTCTGGGATGAGGGAAAGGAAACTACATCCATCCACACACACACAGCTTGAAGGAGCTTCTAGGATAGCTGACAAAGTTCTGTTTCTCTACCTGGGTGGTTTTGTCCTGTAGTAATTCGCTAAGCTATAGATAGGTTTTGTGTAGTTTTCCATATTTGTATTTTATTTTGCAATAAAAACATAATTTTAAAAAGCAATATATTGAATACAGAAAGTTTTAAGGAATTATATTTTCTCTCCATTTGCCCTGCCTGGTTTTGCCTTTTGTTAAGAAACCTAGGACATGAAATTTATCATAATGTAAGAAAATCTCCTTCAGAGCCGTTCTTGGAAAAGGATCCACCAATTTATTCAACAATATTTATTGAACTGTGGCTGGGTGCGGTAGCTCATGCCTGTAATCCCAGCACTTTGGGAGGCCGAGGCAGGCGGATCACTTGTGGTCTGGAGTTTGAGACCAGCCTGGCCAACGTGGTGAAACCCTGTCTCTACTAAAAAAAAAAAAAAAAAAAAAATTACAAAAATTAGCTGGGCGTGGTGACACATGCCTGTAGTCCCAGCTACTCAGGAGGCCGAGGTAGGAGAACCACTTGAACCTGGAAGGTGGAAGTTGTAGTGAGCCGAGATCGCGCCACTGCACTCCAGCCTAGGCGACAGAATGAGACTCCATCTCATCTCAAAAAAAAAATAAATAAATAAAAAATAAAAAAATAAAAAAAACAGCCACGATAATTTATTAAATTGTGACTCTGACTTAGGCATTGTATTCTATGCTGACGTATATATGTTGGTAAATATGATAAATGTGGTCAGTGTTCCTCACTGTACTTATTAGTCATATCAGTAATATGACAGCTTAAAAGGCTTTTTATTCTTTAGTATATTGTTTGGGAATATTATTATATATATTTATATTTGAAGTCACTGATAGCCTCTTTTGTAGACATGTATCGATAGGTTATATTAGTTATCTATTGCTGCATAATACGTTACTCGACATTTAGTGGCTTAAGACAATAAACATTCATTATCTCACAGTTTTTCTGGCTTAGGAATTTGGGATTGAGTTAGCTGAGAAGTTCCAGCTCAGTGTCTCTCAAGTGGCTGCAGTAGCCATCTGAAAGATGAACTGGGGCTGGAGGATGCACTTCCAAGATGGTTCACTCACATGGCTGTTATTAGGAAGGCTTGATGCCTCATCACATCGGCTTCTCCAAAGGCTGCTTGAGTGTCTTCACAACATGGGGCTTGACTTCTTCCAGAACAAGCAATCCAAGGAAGAGTGAGGACGCCACAGGGCCTTTTTTGACCTAGTGTGAAGTCTTACACTGCCACTTCCTTTTACTCACTTCATGGAAGTTATTTAGGTCTAGCCCATACTTAAGATAAAGGGAATTATCTCCACCGTTTGAAGGTAGGAATATCGAAGAGTTTGTGGACATTTTAATTTTATTTTGTTTAATTAATTTATTTATTTTTGAGGCGGAGTTTTGCTCTTGTCGCCCAGGCTGGAGTGCAATGGTGCAATCTCAGCTCACTGGGTTCAAATGATTCTCCTGCCTCAGCCTCCTGAATAGCTGGGATTACAGGCATGTGCCACCACGCCCGGCTAATTTTTGTATTTTTAGTAGAGATGGCGTTTCACCATGTTGGCCAGGCTGGTCTCAAACTCCTGACCTCAGGTGATCTGCCTGCCTCTGCCTCCCACAGTGCTGGGATTACAGGCGTGAGCCACTGCGCGTGGCCCTTGTGGACATGTTTTAAAACCACACAGGTATTAGGTAGGTAGGCAGAGAGATAGAAAGATAGTTAGATACTCAGATCTATAATAATAGCTCTTGAATGTTATTAATATATTGTCCCTGTCCCTTCTACTTACTTACATCAATTTTATACCACGGTCATACTGAACAGTTAACCTGAACACATCTTATACTTTCTTGATTTTGTGTCTTCCTCAATCTGTAATACTCCACATTACAATTTCTATCTGTTGAAATCTTACCCATCAGATATGGCATTATACAACGGTCACCTCCAGGAAGAGTGCAAGTTTGAGGAAAGGCCCAGAGGTGGATGAGTTTGAATTCTGTTCAAGGACAAACAAGATTGTTGAGTGTGGAATGCCAGATTAAAGGATTTGGATTTCATCAGTACACATTAAAGAGTCATGTCAGGTTTTAAAACAGTCAAGGTACAAAGTGGCACCTTAAGACTTCACTGGGGAAGGCACATGGAGGGAAGGAGCATAGGTTAAAGGAGGCTACTGGAACTAGAAATGAAGTGATCCACAGGTAGCAGTACAAACAGGAAGGAAGGGCAGATGCTGGGAAGAGTTGAAGCTCCTTATGGCAGAATTGGTGTAATTCACCTTTGTATTTTCTTGCTTTATAGCACAGTGCCCTGAACACAGTGTATACTCAGTAAGAATTTTCTTTTTTCCTTTTTTAAAAAAATTTCTTTTTAAAGAAAAAATAATATATGCGTGTATGTAAAATGATTTAATGATAATGTAGATGAGTTCTTACATTATTTGAGTGGACCTCGCTTTTTCTACTTTTTTTTTTAAAGAAACACTGTGATCCACAATTGTAGCAATTAAAATCTTAAATCTAAAAGAAACATAAAAGGGAATATAATGCTAGAGCTCATTCTATTTTTATTCAGTACATATATATTACTTAGTATGATGAGACTACCGTAATAAAGAATAGGAACAGACTTCTGATTATGTAATAGCCTGCAATTATTTTTATGGCTATTGCATTCCAATCTTCTTATGCAATATTTACAACCTACATATGTAGCGAGGGCACAAAATACAAGTTCTAACAATCCTAACCATAAATCAGAATCAAAGCATGCAGTATAACATTTGTGACCTCCCTTGGCTGCTGCAGACAGCCTTTGTTAAGAATACATAAAATACTGAGTTTATAACTCTGTGGTAGATCTGGGATTTTAAGTTATAAAACTTAATCACTCTCTACCCCATAATTAAAGATTCTGTCAAGACAATTTGATATTAGTTTAATTGTGAAGATGGTGAAAAACTCTTATATTCCATTTTGGAAAAATAAAAACACAAAATGTTTTAAATATTGTATGAGTGTAATGAGAATTTCAGCAGATTATAACTACAAAAGATTATGATTCAGCCTGAAAACATAACCTATGGAAAATCATCAACTGTGCAGAATGAGCTCTTCCAGATGACAGATCTTACTAAGAAAACCTGCCAATGAAAGATAGAGAATGCTAGAAGAAAAAGAATCCCGTTGACTTTCAACATATGGCCCCGACACCGACATATCTTATAGTTTTTAGTGAATAGCAACCCAAAATAACTAGGTTGATAAAAACTAAAAAAAATGAGTGCGTGAATTTAAAAAATTCTGCTTTGACTTTTTCTCCGCTTTTATTTCAAAGGGTGTTTTAATGGAAAATAAGTGTGCATGTGTTTGTGTATGAGAGTGTGAAGGGGTACAGCTTAATTACATTTTCACTTTTCAGGATAATGGAGACTCCTGGCAAACTGAATAAAGATAGCTATCCATGTATATTTACATATCAGTGAGAAAAGCTTCTTCATCATCATCTATTAGCCTGTTGGTTCTCTCAGCTACCTCATACCCCTGCATTTGTTCTCTTCCTCTCTTGTTTTCTCCAGGCGTTTTTCTTACATCCCCTTCTTTAGTTAGCCTTTTCAACAACTGCTTAAAATTAAAGGATCCACTGGCAATTATCTGGTTTACTTACTTGGTATTAGGAAATTATACAATATGTTGGAATGTTCTGTGATTGTTACTCATGTATTCATTTTCACTTTCATTCAATAAATATTTGTTGAGTACCTACTACATGCCAAGCACTGCACTAGAGAAATCTATAGTTTACAGGCCATACCCTATCTAATGTACTTCCAGATATCCTTGGAATATAATGGATTAAAGAGTTGCAGAAGTTAAGCTTACAGGTTAAGCCTACTTCTAACACTTCCTTCCCTGAAATGGAACTGTTTCAGATAGGCCTTCTTTCTAGAGAGCTTAGTTCTTCCTAAATTCCATTAAGATTGCCCTGCTACCATGAGAATTGTGGTGCTACTTTCGAGCAGGATTGGCCCAATGGGAAGATTGACTGCCGAGTAAATGCAAGCAGTGGATAAATGCAGACACACAATAATGTCAGTATTCCATTTCTGTTGCTTATTGGTTGCATGCCTTGGCTTCCTCATCTGAAAAAAATAGTGAGGCTGTAACTACATACTTCCAAGAGTATCTGTGAAGGTTAAATGAGTTAATACATGTAACTGGTTAGTTCAGACTACCACAGAGCTCTTGATGAATGTTATTTATTATCATTCTTGTTACTGTGATTGTTATAAAAATTCAAGTATGTTTCTTTTTTGAGATAGGGTCTCGCTCTGTTGCGCAGGCTGGATCACAGAGGTTTAATTCATAGCTCACTGCAGCCTCTAACTGCTGGGCTCAACTGATCCTTCCATCTTAGCTTCCAGAATAGCTGGGACTACAGGCACATGCCACCATGCTAAAAATTCATTCTTAAAGTAACAGGACAAATATTTACTAATTACTGTGATTTATATATCAAATCCAATTTGAGATATTACGTGGAATCAACTTAAAAGAACTAGACCTACTCAGGCACAGTTTCAAATAGCTTCATTAAACCTAACTATAATCAAATTACTTTTTCACTCTAGTCTTCCTTATTGCTCTAAGAAAATCTTTTAATTTGCACAACAGCTTTCTAGTGTCTGTTTCTGCCTGCTTCAGGGTGCTATGAAAACTATCCCCTCTGTTAGGTAACCTGCAAGTTTTTATCTTTGAGCATTCCTACTATAATGCCCCATGCATGTCTCTTTTTCTGTGGATTGAAGCTACTTTGTCATGTCTCACCTCCAATGGCCATACGCTGGCTCTCTTCAAAAATCCTCAGGGAGGTTTTTATTTTATTCAGTAAAGAAAAAAGCCTCATTTCTGACTCTCCTGTCCCCCAGCTCCAGGTAAAGCTTGCTTACTGCTGCAGTCTTTGAAGTACTTTTCTTTTCTTTTTTTTTTTGAGACGGAGTCTCGCTCTGTCACCCAGGCTGGAGTGCAGTGGCGGGATCTCGGCTCACTGCAAGCTCCGCCTCCCGGGTTCACGCCATTCTCCTGCCTCAGCCTCCCAAGTTGAAGTACTTTTCTTATCAATCTTAACTTGTCAACAAGTTGGCTTTGCACTGAAAGACATTTTCAAAAAGAGGTTAAGCATTCCTCTCTTTATATGGACATTTAAAACCTTGAGAACAAAACTATTTAATTTGTAAAGTTCATTGAACTTTACTCTCAAGTAAAGTTACACTCAAGATTTGTGCACTTTAGTTTTTATATACCTTTAGAAAAAAAGGTGTTAAATCACAGTTAAGAGCCTGAGCAAGAGCTCAAGCTCTTAGTGAGATCATAGCACACCACCACTTACTGTGTAACCTTGGCAAGTTACTCAACGCCCCCGCCCCCAGCCTCAGTTTTCTTAATTATTAAATGAGAATAAGATCTGCCCCAAATGTCACCTTATTAGAGAGTTCTTCCTTCTCTCCATGTGCCCCATCCCAATCACAACTTTCTTCCTCCCTCTAAAAGTAGCCACCATTCTGACTGTTAGGAAGAAACCCTCGACATTCTTTGTCTTCATCACCGAGCTGCCCCTCAACTATGGTTGAGTCTTACCCATTGTTTTAAATTCGATGTCTTTTAAGTCTCTTTTCATTTATAGATTCCTCCTCTATTCCTTTCTTTTTCTTATCGTTTTGTTATTATTGTTGTTGAAGAACTCAGGTCATTTACTTGTAGTTTCCCACAGTCTAGATTTTGCTGATTGCAGGCTCATTGTGCAGTTCAGCATGTTCCTGTGTATTTACTGCCAATTGGCAGCTGGATGGAAAGGCTTAATTAGATCTGAGTTCAATTCCTTTGGCAGTGTTATTGGTGGTGATGTGTTCTTTTATCCGAAGGCACATATTGCGTGATTGTCACTTGTTTATTGCGGTGGTAGTAGCTGTTGGTGCATAGTACCTAGATCCATTAATTCACTGGGGGTTGCAAAATGGTGATACTATAATTTTATCATTCTCTTTTCATTTATTAACTGGAATAATTTTGTAAGGAGATGCTTCTCTACTATTTGGTTATCCAGCGTTACAGTTCATATAGGAAAGGCAGGATAAATGCTTCTTCTATTTATTCCGTTTTCAAGATAATGAATTAGCCTGTCATCCTTCCAAGTTGACTATTTATGTATTAAATTAATTTGAACTTATGACTTTAAATATATTTGGGTTTCAACTTACTGCAATTCTTACCCTTATTGAAATTCATTCTCATCTTTGGCCAGCTGTAGCCTCTTCAGGTTAGCTCCTGAATCCTTTTGACATGGCCCTAGTAGTCTTTGATATCTGCTGTGCCAAGATGTTTGAAATTCATTTTGTATATTTCATGACCCAAATCTGAAACTAAACATTTTTTTTAAACCTGGATTCTGTTTGTTTTGTTTTGAAACAGGGTCTCACTCTGCTGCCCAGGCTGGAGTGCAGTGGCACTATCATAACTCACTATAACCTCAAACTCTTGGCCTTAAGCGATCTTCCTGCCTTGGCCTTCCAAAGCACTGGGATTACAGATGTGAGCCTGGATTCTTTTTTTTTTTTGAGATGAAGTCTCACTCTGTCACCAGGCTGGAGGGCAGTGGCGCCATCTTGGCTTACTGCAACCTTCGCCTCCCGGATTCAAGCAGTTCTCCTGCCTCAGCCTCCTGAGTAGCTGGGATTATAGGCACACACCACCACGCCCAGCTAATTTTTGTATTTTTAGTAGAGATGGGGTTTCACCATGTTGGCAGCCTGGATTCTTTTTTTTTTTTGAGGCGGAGTCTCGCTCTGTCACCCAGGCTGGAGTGCAGTGGCACGATCTTGGCTCACTGCAAGCTCCGCTTCCCGGGTTCATGCCATTCTCCTGCCTCAGCCTCCCAAGTAGCTGGGACTACAGGTGCCCACCACCACGCCTGGCTAATTTTTTGTATTTTTAGTAGAGACGGGGTTTCACTGTGTTAGCCAGGATGGTCTCGATCTCCTGACCTTGTGATCCGCCCGCCTCAGCCTCCCAAAGTGCTGGGATTACAGGCGTGAGCCACTGTGCCCGGCCAGCCTGGATTCTTCTAATGGGAAATATTTAGCTATTACAGTTTAGGCTCTTGGTATGCTCATTGCTACCAGATTGATTATGGTTTCTCAGTCTTTTCATGGTACAGAGCTGGAAAATATAAACTTGACCTGTTAAATGTAGAAAACTTTGAACATATACAAAGATAGAACGACTACTGTCCTGTAACCCATTACCTAGTTCCAATAATTATCACAAGGTTAATCTATTTCAACTGTATCTCCTCTCCTGTTTCCCAAACTGGATTATTTTGAAACAAATTCCATACATTTAAATTAACTGGTAAATACTTTAGCTCCTGTTCAGTTTTTAATGCCATGCTGCCTTTCCTTCTCTTTCTCTGCTAGATTGAGTTCTCTGGTATTGAGCTGGCTCTGCCGTTTATCAGTAGGACTTAAGCTCTCTAATCCTCCCCTTCTCATCTTTTGAGTAAGGTATCGTTCTAGATGATTTCCAAGCTTTCTTACACCCTTAACTATTGTCCTTTTTTCTTTTTTAAAACATAGAAATTGCTGGGTGTGGTGGCTCACACTTGTAATCCCAGCACTTTGGGAGGCTGAGGCAGGAGGATTGCTTGAGGCCAGGGGTTTGAGACCAGCCTGGGCAACATAATGAGACCTTGTCTTTACAAAAAAAATTATTTTAATTAGCCAGTTGTCGTGGTGTGCTTCTGTAGTCCCAGCTACTCAAGAGGCTGAGGCAGGAGGACCATTAGAGCCCCAAAATTTAAGGTTGAAGTAAACCATGATCTTGCCAGTGCACTCCAGCCTGGATGACAGAGCAAGACCCTGTCTCTAAATAATCAATAAGAAATCTGTTTACTTTTTTGTTTTTTATAAATACGTGTTCATTGTAAAAAATGTATGAATGCATGTAAAATAGAAAAGGAAAAATTCATGAAATTCTACCCCCTAGAAATGAACACTAATAATAATATAATATCCATCAGTTGAGGCTGTTTTGGTAATTTTCTTAATTGGCTTCTTTGAGTTAACTGTGTATTGTGGACTCACCACATCCTTTGGGCGGGAAAAAAGATTGTATAGGATTCTGGATTCTGATAAATGAATGTGTCATAATTTAATTAATGGTGCTAGATAGTAAGATTGTTTTTAACTTTTTGGGGAGTGGGGGAGGTACTCTTACAAAGAGTGCTACAGTGAATATCCATGAACACACAGACATATATATCTAATTGCTAATTAGGATAAAGTCTTATGAGTAGTATTCCTGGGTTAAGCAATATCCAGGTTTTTATATATAAATATATTTACATATACATAGATACGTATATATTTACACATATATACACACACATATATACACATATATATACACACACATATATATACATATTTGTAACTCCCAGGATATTCTGTCAGTTTACATTTCCTATAATTTTTATGACTGGTGCTCAAAGATCTGGTTATACTTGGAAGAAATTGCTGGGGCCATTAGGAATTGGGGTAGTGGACAATTCAGAAAGTAGACATGAATTTATTTGTGACAAATAGCTATTCTCTTACCCAGTGTTTTCAGCCTCAGCACTATTGACATTTTTGGCCAGATAATTCATTTTTGCTGGGGGCTATCATGTATGTTATAGAATGTTTAGCAGCATTCCTGGCATCTGCCTGCCAGATGCTAGTGTAATTCCCCTCCTGCCCCCAAGTTGTGATAGCCAAAAATATCTATAGATGTTGCCAAATGTCCCCGGGAGGGCAAAATTACCCCTGGTTGAAAACCACTGAATATTCATTCAACAGATACAGAGTGCCTTAATTCTGAGAAGGGAGTCTAGGACCAGGACTTACAAAGCAAAATTCAAATTTAGCCTTTTATGTGTTTGTATGTTTGTGAATAAAACAGGGTTTTTACTTCCCTAACCCCTATATGAGAAGTCATGCCGTATTATACTGTTGATAAATTTTCAGTGGACTGATTTCCCTTTCTGTGGACTTTCTCACTATCTTTTTTCTTTACTGACCTCCATGGCATTAGTTGGGGTGAGGGGAGGTGAAAAGCGTGAAGTACGTATGGGACAGAATGGTCAGCCAAGCTGACCAGGACCAGTGGAGGGTGCCTGTTCACCACCCCGAGACTCTCCATTTATTTAGGTGAATTTAGCTTTTCAAGCTTTGTTTGAGATGTAAGTTTTCCTTGAAAATAATAGGCTTTATTTGTACTTTTAGTGTACATCTCACTAAATTGATATTTATTAAAGAAGTTCATTCTTCTTCCAAGATTTTTGGAAGTGGGAGGTTTGATATAGACCAAGAAAAAGGAGGGCAAGTTGATGGAGCTCCCCTAGGACATGCTTAGAGTAGTCACAGATTTTTTTCAGTTCACGGACCCTTGGGGACACATCTGCATTGATGCCTGAAGATTTTCCTTACTACAAAGTCTTAAGAAGGCAGCTGTTGCCCTTGCCTGCCTCCGTTTTTAATACCGAGTGCACCCAATTTAGCTAATACAAGTTCTAACAAGCAAGCCTTTTTCCTTGATCACAATGGACACTTTGGACTTAGCTGCTGGGACACACAACTGTCTGGATTGGACTGCACCTCTGTAAAAGCTGAGAAGGCTGTTTAGGTTTTTTGTTGTTGTTTTTTCTTTTAAGTGCAGATTAACTGGGCCTTCAGGCTCCTAACAAATTAGTAATAGAGCTGTATAACTTTGAGGCCCTACTCCTTTAGTAAACAGTGGCTCCCAATACATAATGCTGTTCCCTTCTAAGCAAAGAATATTTGTGTTTAGGTAAGAAAGAATAAAAGTAAGGTTAAATTTCAAAGTATGGCCTCTATAAAAACAAAAACATCACGTTTTTCTCTCTCTCTCTCTCTCTTTCTCTGTGCATGTGTGTGTGTGTGTGTGTGCGTGTGTGTGTGCATGCAGTGTGTCTTTTTAGGGGCCGTCACCTGCTTTTGCTGATTGTATAAATCTCATGTTTCACAGTTTTGATAGATAATGGAAAATCATTCTGATTAATTGCTTAAATGCAGTATGCAGTATTTGCTACTTATATGTCAGAAGTCACTGCAAATAGGCAGCTAATTCAAATGCTTTTTAGAATTTATGATTCCTGAAACTATAATAGAACTATTATTTTCACTTCATTTGAATGAGAGACTCTGTACTTCCACATTGTCTCATGTATTTTTTCTTTCCTTTGTATAGCTTATTTTATATTGTATATGTTATATACAATATACTAAATAAATATGTTGTATATTGTAGTTTATTAGATTTAATTAAAATTTTTTGAGGTGGGAAATTTTGGGCCAGGTGTGGCGGCTCATGCCTGTAATCCCAACACTTTGGAAGGCTAAGGTGGGCGGAGCACTTGGGCCCACGAGTTAGAGAGCAGCCTGTGCAACATAAGGAGACCCTGTCTCTACAACAAAAAATAAAAATATATAAAAATTAACTGGGCATGGTGGCATGCACTTGTATTCCAGCATACAAGGGGGCTAAGGTGGGAGGATCGCTTGAGCCTGGGAGGTCAAGGCTGCAGTGAGCTGTGATGGCACCACTGTACTCCAGCCTGGGTGGCAGAGCAAAACCCTTTCTCAAAAAGAAAAGAAAAGAAAAGAAAATCTCATCCCTGTTTTTAAATGAAATTTTAGATAAAATATTTTTAGATAAAACATTTTAGATAAAAAATTTTTATGGCAACAACTCCTCTTTCAGTAATTCAACATATACTGTATTTGAGATCATTTAAATCCTAGATAACCATTGAAAATTTTTATTTTATATTTATTTATTTATTTATTTATTTAGTTAGTTAGTTAGTTAGTTAGTTATTTTTGAGACAGAGTCTTGCTCTGTCACCCAGGCTGGAGTGCAGTGGTGCGGTCTCCGCTCACTGCAAGCTCTGCCTCCCGGGTTCGTGCCATTCTCCTGCCTCAGCCTCCCGAGTAGCTGGGCCTACAGGTGCCCACCACCATGCCTGGCTATTTTTTTTGTTTTGTTTTGTATTTTTAGTAGAGGCAGGGTTTCACCATGTTAGCCAGGATGGTCTCAATCTCCTGACCTCATGATCCACCCGCTTCGGCCTCCCAAAGTGAGATTACAGGTGTGAGCCACCGCGCCCAGCCCATTGAACATTTTTAATAGAAAGTTTTATCATCTCAATTTTCTCTTTTTACTTTGTATAAAGATATTTCTGTACCATGCACTCTTTAAGGACAGGCTCCATGCCTTATTCATCTGTATATCATTGCCTAATTTAGGTGATAAGCAAGGTTTTATCAACTTGATATATTCTTTCATTAATTAGAAATTGGCAGTAGGGGTAAATGACTTAGAAAATCTGTAAATATTCTCTCAAATGCCACTGTCTTTCATTTTTAGAGGCTGACAGGCCTTTTCAGCCTTTAGGTTTTAGAGACAAACACTAAAATTACCCAGAGCTTTGCCTACTTTCTAACAATAGTATTAAATGTAATTAATAATTAATAGGAATGGAGAGACGAGTTAGTTATAAAAGTACATAAATGTTTGTAACAATAAGCACAACCTGCTATATTTGAATATCTTCTTACAGCATATTTAAATTAAGTTTTTCCTTTTTAAGAACTAAAGTTTTAAGATAAGACTATTGTGTTTCGTTCCTATATGCTTTATGAACTTAAAATATTTTTATGGAGTCTGTAAGCTGCTATTAAAATTGTATTAACTTTTGGCTTTTATTCCATAGTATAATTATCCTTGATTACAGACTCCAGAAGAGGTAGTGTACAGAGGAGCTGTTTATTTCACAAAAAACTTGACATAGGATTCTAGAACTTCTAAGGATAAAGGCTGTTATTTTTGAGATAATTTAAACCCAAATAAATATTATTTTAGAGGAAGATTACAGTTAGGGTTTTTTTGAGGGGAGGGGACAACTATCTTCTGTTTTGAAGAACAAATACTCTTCATTGTGGGTTGTTGTGACACCCAGAATTTCTAGCAATACCATGTTTGATCCTATCTCTTTATTTCCTAACCTCCCTCTCACTCCCTCAACTCCACCCCAAAGAAAATTCTCAGGAATTACATCAAAAACACTATATCATGTTATCAGACTTCCTTTTCTTGATTCTCTAGAGTGACAATATCTTGGAAAGACAGGACAATGTTGAACATAGTTTTCATAAAATTCATGATTATATCAAGAAAATTAAATACCAACAGAGAGAAAACAAGGATGACCACTTGGTTTCTGGCTTAAGTAACTGGGTAGATGTTTGCGCCATTTACAGTAGTACCTCCATCCTCTTTTCCACTTTCTGGGATTTCAGTTACCTGGGTCAACTATTGTACAAAGAAATTAAATGGAAAATTCCAGAAATTAATAATTTATACATTTTAAAGTTTGTACTCTTCTGAGTAACATGATGAAATCTCATGACATCCGGCTCTGTCCCACCCAAGATGTGAATTGTCCTTTTGTCCAGCATCTTCACAATGTACAAGCCACTTTGCTCTAGCTGTGTACACTGCGTGCCCTTCCATCACTTAGTAGCCAATTAGCAGATCTGATATTGGTTATATCATATCTCTTTATGGATGTCTGATATAACCAATATCAGATCTGCTGTTGCTGGTACCACAATGCTTGAATTAAGTTGACCCTTATTTTACTTAATTATGGCCCCAAAGTGCAAGAGTAGGGATGCTGGCAATTCAGACATGCCACACAAGCCGTAAAGTGCTTTAAGTGAAAAGGTGAAAGTTCTAGAATTAATAATGAAAGAAAAAAACCCTATGCTGAGGTTGCTAAGCTTTACAGTAAGAATGAATCATCTATCCATGAAATTATGAAGAAGGAAAATGAATTTTTTGCATAGTATATAGGGGGTTTGATGCTATCCATGATTTTAGGCATCCACTGGCAGGTCTTGGAACATGTTTCCCATGGATAAGGAAGGACTATTGTATTTAGATGGGAGAATGGGGATTAGAGTGGGGTATAGGTTTGGGTGGGGGTGAGCACACTGAGGTGTTGATCAAGATTTCTATAATAATTTGGCAGTGTTGATTTGGAATTGCCTTTCAGACATCTAGGTGGAGATGTCCAGTAGCTAGGATATGCAAGTCTGGCATTCAGAAGAGAAACTGAGGTGGAACTATAAACTTGAAAGGGTTTAGCATGAAGGCATTTCTTATATCCATTGGAATGGTTAGCCTTCCTTCTTCCCTTCCTCCCTTCCTCTGTCCTTCCATCCTTCCTTCGTTAATCATTAAACAAGTGGTTCTCATTTAGATTTATTTACAGTTAATCATATTTCCAGCATGAACCAATTTTTCAACTCTCATTGTTATGTCAGCTGAACACACAAATTAACACATATTCTCCAAGAAATTGGGAAATACTGATCCTACTTCTTTAGCAACTTATTTTCTAAATTTATATAGAAAAAATTGCAGAAAGAAAAAATGGCAATAAAATCATTTCTCAAGAACCATTAAGTGTGCCAGAGTTTCCTCAAAACAGAAATTTCAGAATAGTGGATACCTGGCAGGGGTAGTAGGTAAGGGGATGAGAAAGGTAAGGGGCTACACAGGCCCTTCCTTTGTATTTCATGTTATGTTTCTTTATCTGCATGGTGGCTAGATTGGCATTCATTATATCAGTGATTAGACTATTTCATCTAAGGGAAAAAAACCAAACTCTTGCACATATTTCTAGAGAAAGTCTTCAGAATTTGATTACTCCAATGACAGTGTTTATTTGTTTTCTTTTTGTTGTAGTACAAGAGAGGCAGGAATTAGAGGTAAAATAAAAGCTCTTTGCTTCCTTTATTAGTAAATATAGCTTACTAAAGAAAAGTTTTATGACTAATTTTTGAATTGCAGTAAATAAGCATATTATTTCACTGTTCAAATACAATGGTCTGATCGTTGTATATTTTTTAAATTAAATTGAGCTCTAGGCCTTTGGTCAGGTACCTTACCTTCATACTTATTTTCATGGGAAATCCAGCCTAATTACATTGTATGGATTTACAGTGCTTATTAAGGAACATAATTCTCTGTAAATGTAAGCATTGCCTTTAATTTGAAGTAAAGGTGGGTGGATTTCATTTCACTGATTGAGACAGTGTCATAGACATTAGAAAATAAACTGTTAGGGTTTACGTTTTCACATAAACTCTTTGAAAAAGCCGGAATTATCTTAATGTTTTATTTGTAGTGGTATTAACAATAAAAGTTATATTATACTATTTTAAAAATATGTTACCTAAAAAATAAATTACAAATCTAGGCTCATAGTTAACATTATACTGTAGATATATTTCTGCAGGGTTAGTATACACTGTTTTGCACAGTGAATTCTTAAAAAGAAACTATAGGAGCTCACCATTTAAGAAACCCTTCAGCCACTCCTTCTATACAAAGAATAATATTTGTACATTCAGATTTTTAGATTAGATTTTTAAAAGTAGTTAAATTGGGCATCTTTTATCATATTTGTCTTTAATTAATGGTGTGACTCTGGGGAAAGTAAAGAAACCTCTCTGAGCTCCAGTCTTATCTTTAATTTCAAAAGTGAACTAGATAATCTCTGAGGTTCAGCCTTAAAATTCTGTGATACTCATTTAAAAATAACTGTACCATCCAGCATTTCAGAAAAAGCATTAAGGACATGTGTTTCATTTCCTTAAATGAAAACAGATTATAATGTATGTAATCAGAGCATTGAAAAGAGAAGGAGAGAGAGGTGATTTCAGTACCAAAATTTGTCTATAGGATAGACTACCTGGATGAGGCAAAAGGATCTATAGACTACCTGCCTCAAAAATCTCTAGATATAATGAGAGAGATGGTAGGTACTCCTTGAGATGAGATACTAGTCTGATGATGGCTTTTTTTGGTGATGGCTGTTGAACAACATGTAAATAAAAGCAGTAATCATGTTAGAAGAGACCAATCTGTGCCTGTGTTCTGTAGACTACATTGTTAAGAGCATGGTTCAAATATTTGAAAGAGAAAAGAAAACTGCTTTTAAAACCACTTACAATTACCTTGGCATTCTCATTTTAAGTAGCCATCTGCAAGCATATTAATTTTATTATTTCAGTGAACTCCCTATTTGATTAATCCGTGACCTGATTTAGTAAACATTTGTCAGGATATATCTTCCCTGGAGATACATTAAGCTTGGAGCATGTAAGGCATCTTTTTTCCTATTCAAACAGTGAAGTTAGGAAAGTGTTGTGGTAATAATGTGAGCACAATTGTCTAAGAACATTAAGAACCTTCGTCTGGATCTTTTGTTACCATAAAAGGCAATGTATCATGCTTTCCTGTTTTGCATGGATGAGAAGGGAGTAAAAAACACCAAAAGAATTTTTATTGCATAGAAATATTTCCTTCCTAGCAGTTGGTGAAGCAATAATGAGCCTACAAAACAATCTTCCTATAGCTGGGGAGAGGAGGGCAGGAAAACGTAGTGCAGCCAGCCACATAGATTCGCAGACTGGCAGGCTGGTCACAGAGCGCCTGCTTCCATCCAGAGTCCCTTCTACATGTAACTCTCCCCAGGGCAAAGCGCCTGCATGTGCTTCTTCTCACAGCCCTTTAAGATATACAGGGCAAGTAGGAGCTGCTTCTTTTCTAGAAGAAGAACTTATCCAAGCCTGTGGTGCAGACGATTGTTGTAGGCAGGCTAGAGCCACACTTACCTGATTCCCAATTTGTACGTAAGACCAGGCAAGGTCCACTGTGTTGAGAAGATGCTTTCTGTGAATCAAATTACTTGGTACAGAAAATGTTGCTTTCAGTGTATCTTGTGGCAACTTTAACATTGTAGACATCACCACTGAATAAGATGAATGCGTGGGAATTGTGGATTTGAAAACACTAAAAGTGGTTATCAGGCTTTAGCACATCTTAAGAGTCTGCATTTCCACTAGCCTAATTCACACTGGGCCCTTCTCAGCGTTTCTTAATGCTACGCTACTCCCACTTCCTTTCCTCTGTTTCCCTCACTTCAGCCCTAAATGAATTTAGGTTGTTGAACAGAAATGATCATAAATCCCTTTTTAAGCCAAATGAAAAGAGGCCCATAATTTCTTTAGTTTGTTTCAGACCCATTACCTTTCAGAAGGTCAAACCTGCCTCATTCTCTAGGTGTGGACATGATACGGATAACAAAAAGGCATGGGGATATGTTTTATCAAATGTCCTAAAGATGTTTTTACATGCAGTTTTTAATAAAAAACAATTATCTACTATGCATAAGAACTAAAGTAATAATGTGCAATGCATTTTGTGCTTTTTAATAATAAATTATTAGTAATGAAGTGGAGACAACTTAGAGTTGATTGTTTTCTTTGGAGGTAAGGAAACATATTGAAACTAAACAATAGTAGCTGCCTAAGATTTCATGATGTGACAGTGGCATATTGCTATGGGGGAAAAAAAACAACCATGCACAGAAGAACAAGCCATTCACCCTGATATCAGTAATTTGAAAGTGAAGAGCAATTCTTTTTCAGCGTGATATATTTTTCAGTTTTAGGTTAAAAGTGTTGCATTCCAAGGAAGGCACTACAGTGCGTTCTCAGTATAAAGCAAATAGTTTTGTGGTATTGGTTGTCTGATGTGGTTGAGCACTGGTATTTCATAGCTTTCAAAGAAACATTTTAAAGATAAAAAGAAGAGCAGAAATACTGGAAAAGGCAATATGTCATCTGAATTCTGTTGGTGCTTAAGAACAGCAAGGGCTATCAGTTACCCTTGAGTTCCAGTCCCAGTTTTGTCACTGACTCTGACCTTAGGCAAGTTATTTAACTTATTTATGCCTTTGTATCCTCTTCTCTAAAATGAATCTAATACCTGTCTCACAGTGTTAAGTTGTGAGGATGAAATAAAATAATGCCTGTGAAGCACTTCCTATAGTGCTTGGCATGTGAATCCTCAGATAATGATCACAGTTAAGGAATTGGATGGTTGCTATTTTCATGGTTCTTTAGTTTACAGGTTTTCAGAGTATTTTACTAGTAGACTCTATGCTTAATTAATTCATTCAACTTAATAGTAACCAGAAATAGTGTTCTTTCATCTGGAGTTGTAATTCCCTCACTTGTAAGTAATTTTTCTGCTGCCTCTTGTCTTTACTGAAAATTGATTCTGTTCGTTGCTGTGGAGGCCTCACCTTTCTCACTTCTCCTGATATACTGTGAAAATATTAAAACCTAATAATTTGTCCACATGCACCACTCTTTTCAGTAATCATTGCTGACTCTGTCAACCCTAGACTCATTCCCACTTTGCTAGACAACCTCAGTACCTGGGTCTTATCTTCTCTCCATCCTCTGCCATCATCCTCCCCAATTCTGGCACGTAAAATGATGATCCATTCATCCTTCTTCAGCCTGTTAGAGTCTTTCCAGCTCCATTTCTGCTCCCCACCTTTCCTTTTTGCTGCACCTTGTACTTCATCATCACTGCTCTGTTTCTAAAATATCAGTACTCTCTTTCTCTGCTTACCACGTCCTGAACTGCTGCTTCTTCCACTCCTCCACATCTGTGGAGCTAGATCTGTGCCTTCAGTCATTCACTCTTAGACTCTGCTGATTGCATGCTTAGCCTTGTCTCAAAGACCTACTACTTCAGTACCACCTCCTCAACCCTCCTAATCACGTTCTTTGTCCACTGTGATAGTCACTGCATGCTTTCCCGCTTTTTGCAATCTGCTGTTGGAACATTTTAGAAGCAATCTGAGAACCGTACTGATTTGGCCCACTACAAATTTGTGATTCTAATTTTATTTTGGGCCCTTTGTATGGCTTAACAGTAGTTATCAATTCTTCAGCACATTTGTTTTAATAACTATTAAATATTTCCTATTTTCTAGTCTCCTTATGCTTCCAGTCCTAACCAGCCCTCCCTTCCTCTTGGGACATGATCTTGCCTCTTATTTTTACTGAACCGATTGATGTTATTGCTGCTGTGTATGTACTATCATTGTCCCTGGGAGATTGATGAATAAAACATTACCTAGCAGTGTTTGTGTTCCTGAGGTCTGATTTGGCCTGTGGGTAACTAGATACTGACTCTTATCTTTGTCCCAGCGAGTGGCCATCTTTGATATAGATGATGTTTCTTTACTTGTGTATCTATATATTTGGTCATTTCGTGATCTGTATTTATTGAGCACAGTGACCTGTGTTAAGTAGGTAGTAAGGACAATTAGAAAGAGAATAAAACACATAGCCCCCCTTCCCTTTCTGTGAATTAATAATGAAGACAAACCTACCTAATTTTAGTAACATTTTGTTATTATACACTTGGTTCTAACCATGAATTTGGTTACCTTAAAGGTGTCCTGCCCTCTCTTGTGATGCACAGCAGAGTAAGATGCGCTTGACGGGTAGCGTGGCTGTCTTTTCCTTCTCACTCCAGGGTTATGATAGTTCCTGTTGTACACATGGATGATAGAGACACAGCGGCAACCATACAGGATTTTTATACTTGTACTAAGGACTTGGAGAGGGTCTAAAGGTAGGAAAGTAGTAGGAACTACCAAGTTGATTAGAATAACAGGCCTGGAAAGGCCTCTGAAGAGTGCGTTAAGAGAGAAATCATAGCTGGCCTTGGAAGGGAGAGGTGTCGTTTGGTGAGGCAGTGTGCATAGGATACCTCAGGGATGTGAGTGGTAAAGGCAGATAGGGCATTTTTCCAGAAGAAAATATGAATGTCAGTTATTATAGAAGTGTATAGATAGAATTTGCTCACCACTTTGTGTGTGTGTATGGAGTTGTGTTTGAAAGCAGAACTTGGATGGAATCTATGGATCAATTACTTTCCTCTTTTCTAGGGTTATGGGTATTGAGGGAGGCCAGGGGCATTGGAAGAAAAAAAATGTGTGTCATTCAAGTACCCTTGGGTGTCTTCATTTTGGGTAGTTTCCTGAAGAGATAGTGTTGATGCCTTTTGTGCTGTTAGCATTGTCATCTGTTGCTGGAAAGGGTAATCCTGGAGCTTTGATCCATGGAATGAATCCAGGGAGCCAAGTGTAGACTCTGACCGTTCTACACAGTAGTTTAGGGGCCATGAGACGTGAAAACTTGGCCTGAGGAGCCCTTCTGCCTTCTCATAGTCTATTAAGAAACCATGAAAAAGAGAGGAACTTAACGTAACCTTAACTGTCTACATTTTTGACACTTTGCCAGACCTGTGTGATTTATTTTAAAAGATAGAATGTGTATTCAGGCACTCCCAGCGTCATTTTACTTAGTGAAGTATTAGAAGTCAACAAAATTAACTTCTTTATTTGGGTTTTAAAAAAACGGAAAGAAGACAGCTCTTACAGAATGAAGGGTAACAGTACTAGAAACAATAAAAGGAAAACATTACCATCCAGTTTTATACTTTTTAACTTCTCTATTTTGTGTATTTTCTAACTTGAATACAGCTTTAAAATGCCATTTTTAGTTAGACATGGCATAGGAAATGTTTTAAATAACAAATTTCAGTTGGGGATGAATAGAACATTACTTGTATTGTGTTAACAAATACATAAATGTAAATTGTTTTAAGGTGCATATTAAGCTTTATTAAACAAAGAGATAAATATTTTGTCTCTGTTAATGTTTTACTCAAGTAACAGTAAATCTTTTAAGTCCACCAAAACATGAAGGCATTGCACAATGAATGGTACATTATAAATGTATTCTGCAGGAATGATTTATGCATCTGACTTCTATGGCACTGAATTTCAAAACCTCATAAAGAAGTCATTTTAGAGAAATGTCATGCTGACCTGTGTAGACGGAGACGTAAAATTTGCCTATGTGGTCAACTTCATATTAACTTGATGTTCAGAGTTACAGAAATATTTGAATACTTATATATTTTAGATGATAAATGCTTGTCAAAGTAATGAATATTTAACATATTACTTGACTTATAGACTAATGACCTCTCTAAAATTTAAGATTTTTAGCCATACATGATTCAGTTTATTTCTCGTGTGTCATGCAATTGATTCTTCTTGTTGTGCTACCCATAAAAACTTTAGTGTTTCTAGGGTATTGCCTCAGGATCATCATACACTACTTGTAATTATTTGAAAAATTCATACCAAAGCATTTTAATATATGGCAGTTTTAATATTTTGGCATCTCCTACACATTGACTTATCAGAGAAGATTATGTCTTTATTTTACTTTAAATGAAGTACTGTTTTCAGAGATGATTTCCTTAAATCCATCTGCACTGAAAAAATGTAATTAATCTGACATTTTGTAAAGGTTTCATTGAATTATATTCTTGTCTTATGCTGTACAGGGATAAGTACTTACACATTTTCAGCTAAGATTAGCTTTAGGATGTGTTAAGGAAAAAAGATAACAGTACATATTTTATGATCAATATATTTTAATTAGTCAATTTTCAAATGAACTTGTCCGTCTGTAATTTGTAGACAGGATATGCCCAAGTGCAGAAAAAATAGAATTTAAAGCTTAGACAAATAGATGGAAGAATTTGAATCTATCTGTTAAAATCTCATAGCCAAGAATATGCTGATTTGTATATGACCCAGTGTACTAACACATTTACACAACTTCCAAGTACAGAGAAAATTTACCTTGAGCTTTAAAATATAAATAATTTGTCTTTGAGTTCGTAGAACAGTCTTTTTTTCTTCCTAATTAATTTTATTTTATTACTTGTTTATTCACCACAATGAATTAATTTAGACCTCAACGTAAACATGCTCCCATCTTGGGGGCATTTACAGTTTTACTTTACAGATGGACAAGTTTATGCATACATACCTGTTCAATGCATGTGAATACCTGTTTGAGGGCTGAAAAAAGTTTTTTTGCGTCTAACCTAGCAAATAGTAACTTTTGTGAGCTGATAGAGGTCTTCTTTTGCCTGAAGGAAGGAGAATATTGAAATATGTTTTCAAGGGCCTTATCTATTTTTCTAGTCTTATGATTCTTTTATTTAACTACTGTAAAACTGTACTTAGACAGAAATAACAATGTAAGAACTTATTTAAGATGCACTTTTCCTTCCCTTCAAGTTAATAATTTCAAAAATTCTTCACATAAGCACGACAGTGCTCTTAAAAATCGCCAGCACATCTTCTGTTTCTAATTTAGTTTCTTGAATTGTTTCCCATAGCTTCATGTATCTTCAAAATATCTGTATAGAGTCCACTTCTAATTACTTACTTTCTAACTTAGGAAAAAAGAAACATTTATCTCATCTTGGTTTTCCTCTGATTTGCCACCATACTTGAGCAATCTCCTAATCTATTTTTGTTCCGGGAATGCAAAATTAATTTTAATATCAGTTTAAGCAAATCATAATTAGCAGAGAAGCATCCTTGTTAATTGAGGGCTTAACTATGAGAAGACCAGGAGTGAGCTGTCTTCTTCATTGAGAGATCTTCAAATGCCAGCATCAGTTGGCCATTTCTGGAGGAGTTTTCAATTTCTCCAGAAAATAAATTTTTGGTCTCATATCTGGGGATGGATGTGGAGTGTAAGAACATATAAGGCTTGGCTCCTGGAGGCCAAGGAATGAATTTCTGGTTTCAGCTCTGTGATCTGAAGAGCTGGAATGATGTAGGTCCCATTTTTACCACAAGAAAAAAGCTGGACAGACAGATTTTCATGGACTCATCAGAGAACTAAGGCAACAGAACAAACAGCTATCCTGAAATGTGGATAGAGACAGGAGCTCTCAGTGAGTCCTAGGATGTCAGCACTTGCTTACCTGAGGCAGAAGCCACTAGATCCTTGTAGGAAAACTAGAGATTTTGATGAATTGCTGGAGGCTGAAGCTAATGAGAACATGAAGCTTCTGGGCCCTCTGTCGTACGAGGGGTTCTCACCGTTTTGCAAGCTTACACAGATTTTTACTCCTCTTTTTAGCCTTGCCTCTCACTGCAACTGCCAGTACCTCTATTTTACCTTTGGGGGCTTCCTCAATATGAGGTGTTTTTTTTTTTTGACAGAGTCTCGCTCTGTCGCCCAGGTTGGAGTGCAGTGGCATGATCTTGGCCCACTGCAACCTCTGCCTCCTGGGTTCAAGCGATTCTCCCTCCTCAGCCTCCTGAGTAGCTGGGATTACAGGCGTGCGCCACTATGCCCTGTCTAGTTTTTGTATTTTTAGTAGAGACAGGGTTTCACCATGTTGGCCAGGCTGGTCTCAAACTTCTGACGTCAAGTGATCTGCCCATCTTGGCCTCCCAAAGTGCTGGGATTACAGGCATGAGCCACCATGCCTGGCCGAGGTTTTGTTTCTAATAAATCAGTAATGCTTTCGGTAGTTTAATCTGTCATCTCAACCAGAAGTCTTCATCACAATATCTTGTTAACTGAAAATAGTCCACTACAAAACAGAATTTGTACCATAAATCTCTAAATTTTGTTTATGTGAACACATAGACACACACAGGAAAGAAGTCTGGCTTACATAGATGTCATAGATTATGGTGATATTTTCCCTCTATTTGTATTTTCTTATTTTTTTTTAACAATTCTACAGTAAAAAGTGTTTAAGAATACTCAGAAAACAAGTGTGTATCTATAATTAATCACTAGTACTTACAATATTCTCTTTTTAGTTTGTTTTCTTTCAGCTTGTTCTCATCCAGATGTTTAGAATCCTAAATGACTGTTTTCTCCTGACATTTGCCATTGGGGTACATAAGGTGGTGACTGCCATAGTTCTTTACAACTCCAGTGATTCTCTTAAAACTTGCTCTTAGGATCCCTTGCCTAACCCTAGGGCTTAAAGGTGACTGCTCTGGAGCTACAGGTGTGGACGAAGATGGCCCTTGGGCTTCTGCAATTATTCTGTTCTCCCAGGTGAGGAGACTTTTGTAGGACAGGGTGGTTATTTAGGAAATTCTGAGCTGCTCTAAGCCAGTGTTGCCCAACCGTGACCATACCTGGGGAGCTTTAAAAACTCCCAATCTAGGCTGCACCCCAGACCAATTAAATCAGAATCTCTGGGAGGGGGACAAAGGCATCTATAGTTTTTAAAGCTCTCCAGGGTGATTTCAATGTATTGCTGAGGTTGTGAGCTGCTGCTTTAAAGGAAACAAGTATGTTTATTCCTAATCCATTTGGATCTTGAGGGCCAATCTGGAAAAGCAATCTCTATACCCACTGTCATCTCGATACATATCTTGTGGGGATTCTGTAGCCACTAGCAGGCCATGTTCATCTGTGTGTGTGTACCTGCCTTGATGTGACAAATCATAAGCACTAAGAGGAGAGGCAGCCTCTTTTATTCACCATTGTATCCTAAGTCTCTAAATCAGTGCCTGGCCTAGTAACTTACCAAAAGATATTGTAAAAGTAGTGCATTTAGGGTTTTTTTTTTCCTTTTTATTGAAAAGGGACAAAGACAAGTGGTCAAAACGTCATTTCATAATACTTAATTTTTACGAACTCTCCTGGCCCCAAGTGTCTGTGATTCAGTGAGGAAAGAGCTCTCCTTCATTCCTTTGACATGAATATATTGACTACCCATTGTTTACATAAGGCTGGGATGGCTGTGATCAAACCAACATCCACAGACATGGTACCTAGAGAAATAAAGCGCGGAAAGCCAAACCTATGGAAGAATAACAAATATTGCAATTCAAAAGTGAAAATCACTGTAGACTAGCTTCATTTTTCCATTTAACAACTATGTCTTGGCCACCTCTTTCTCTGCTAGCACTAGTCTAAATGCTGGAGGTCTTGAGGGCAGTTTGCTAAGTGATTTTAAAATACAACTTTAGCACCTGATTTTCTTTCTTTTCTTCACAGTCAGATTTTGGGCCAGAACCTAAGTGATAGATTTCTAGGCATTGTAATAGATAATGAAATGCATTATTACTTTTGAAGTTATGATAACCTGACAAGAAAAAAATGGATATTTTTATTATCTACATCTTACAGATGAGGAAACACTTTGTGCACTTTAAGTAACTTGCCCAGGCTCATAAACCAGTGTTGTTAGCTCAGCTACTTCAATAAAGGTCCTCTGATTTCAAATCTTATGAGTAAGAAGACTTAATATTCCACTAGTTACATAATGGCAGAATGGTTCTGATTTTGTATTCAGTGCAGTAAAGTTAAATATGCTGTTAAAAAATTTAGTGTCCACAAATTACCTTCAATGCGATTAATGTTTGTTTTGAAATTACCTACCAGTTATCATTGTTAAACTCTGTGGTATTTTTTTTCTTTGTGTGTGTTTTATGAGTTAGCATTATTTTATAGAAAGATTTAGGGATTTATTATTTATATTATTTATATTACTATTATTTAGATTATTCTGACAGTCTTCTGTGTCCTCAGACAAGTTAGCAGAGCACAGATATAATACATTAGTCAGAATTTTTCCATTTCCGTGTTCAGATTAATCTTAGAATAATTTTTACCTGTCTTTGTTAACAGGTATTATGCTTTTAACTTCTTAACTCCTAGTACATGAGTAAAAGGTAGTAATCATGACATAGCCAAATGACAGAGTGCTTGTATTTGCCACAAAGCATGTAGTTCCTTGTAAATCCTTGAGAAAGGTAAATTATCTCTCTCTCTTTTTTTGAGATGGAGTCTCGCTCCGTCGCCAGGCTGGAGTGCAGTGGCGTGATCTTGGCTCACCGCAACCTCCCCCTCCTGGGTTCAGGTGATTCTCCTGCCTCAGCCTCCTGAGTAGCTGGGAGTACAGGTGTGCGCCACCACACCCGGCTAAGTTTTGTATTTTTAGTAGAGATGGGTTTCACCGTGTTGGCCAGGATAGTCTCCAACTCCTGACCTCGTGATCTGCCCACCTTGGCCTCCCAAAGTGCTGGGATTACAGGTGTGAGCCACTGCACCCAGCAGTTTCTAGCTGTTGTTTTCATGTCCGTATTTTCTTTCCTGTAGATAGCACCTATCGGAATCTTTAATTTTGAAGTTGAAATACATAGGTATGCTTCTAGCTTAGGGTCATTCCCCGGGGATTATTATACTTCTTTAAGATCTCTATTCTTTAAGATAGAGATGTCTTCTGGTTTACCTCTGGACATTTTGTGTGTAAATTTTATGTTCAGCCAACCAAAGGGCCCAGGGGTTAGTAGCGTTATTTTGTTCTCTGCTTTAGAGGACAAGGGTTCAAGTTCCAGATCTGCCATTTGCTGTTAGTGTAAACTTTAGTAAATTAACTTTCTGAACCTGTTTTCTCACCCTGAAAATTAGGATACATTATTTATTTTTCTATTTTCCTGCATTTTGGGAGGATCAAATGAGATCTACAAAAAATATTTTCTTAACTGCCAAGTGCTATAGAAATATTGGATATCAGTGTTTTTTTCATCTACCATAATGATTGTTATTTTCCTAATACCTGAGCCTTAACAATATATTTTCCATTTATACTACCCTTATAAATTGAAGTTTTTAATTTCAGATTTTCTATAAAGATAAGAAAGTCAATTTGTTTTCATGTTAGCTTTAATATCCATTAAGCCTTTTGTTTTCTAGTCCTAAAACAATAAAAATGGGGCCTTATGCCAATCAGTACTGTCCTTGATTTTAAATGATGCGAAAAAAATACAAACTCCTTTAATAGAGAGTCTTTTAACCAGATGGATAGGTGATACATAGGTATTAGCATCTCACAGTTGCAAAGTATCTTCTGTTGCATTTGCATAGGATATATCAGGAAAGGGTGTGGGATGAGGAGAGTAGACTATTTTTATTATTATAGGGTTGGGAAGGAGTAGTTCCATCTCTGCCTGTGATATCAAAGGGCTGGATGACACTGGAGAACTCATTTCTCACCTTGACCTATTCATCCGTCTTTAAAATACCAAAGATGTTAAGTTGGTGATCTCCAAAGCTCTTTCCAGTTTTAGACTTTGCTGCATCTGAAATGAATATCAAGAGAGTACAGGAGAATTATACTTGAACTGAAAATAATAATAAACTTGGAGAAGTTTTCTTTCTGAGTCTTAGAGAACTATAAAGATATAAAAGGTAAATAAACACAATCCTTTCTTCCTTGTCTATGTGGGTAAGTGATTAGAACTAGGAACTATGAAACTAAAGTGAAATGTGGCTTAGTTTTTTCCTTATGCATACTTGGGAAAATAATATTTTGTCAATAAATACTTTGCATGTAATATGCATATATAATAATTTCTTGAATTACCTTACACATAAAATGTCACAGCCATTCCCTGGGCTTGGTATTTTTAGTCTGCATGTTGCTAAAATCAGCTATAAATTTCAGTCTATCAAGGTAGTCCAATAGAACCTCAATAGTTGTTATGAGGTAAGAATAACTCTTTGTACCAAAATCTATCTAGGATGTTAGGATGTTGCAAGAATAGAAAATTACAAACCATTATACCTCGTGAATGAGCACATAGATACAGAAAGCTTTAGAAAAACACTAGAAAACAGAACTGAATATTATTTTTAAAAAGGTAATCATAATGCATTATGACCAAGTAAATCAGGAAAAAGGCAAGGATGTACACTCTTATGACTTTTCTATTCAACTTTGTAATCAATGCCATAAGACGAGAAAAAATAAATAAAAGACATAATGATTGGAAAGGAAGAAGTACAACTGCCTTTGTTTACAGACACTGTAATTGTGTATGTACAAGATCTAATGAAATATACAAAAAGATTGCTAGGACAAAGAGTGAATTTAGCAAGGGACAAGATACAAGGGTAGTAGTAAAAATAATTTATGGTATTTCTGTATACTAACAGAAAAACTGGAAAAGTATCTATATATCAACAGAAAAACAATACCATTTAAAATAGCATCAAAAAGCATAAAATATGAACAAATTTGTTTAAAGATATAAAGGAGCTCTATAGTGAAATTTGTAAAATATTGCTGAGAGAGATTATAGAAGTCTTAAGACAGAGGTATACCATGGGATGGGCCCAGGAATCTTTACAGCCCCCCAGGATGCTTTGAAACAGAAGCCTGGTTGAAGAATAGGGTAGCATGATTTTTAATTCTTCGATAGTATTTTGTACCTAACCAATTAATCTTAATATATCCAAGTCCTCTCTCCCTTCGTCTCTGCCTCTCTCTCTCTCTCTCTCTCTCACGCTCTCTCTCTCTCTCTGCCCTGATCATTTGTACTTATTCTTGCCATCCTTACTGGACTGTGAGCTCTTACAGGGTCAAGATCATAGGATCATGTTTTCTTTGTCTTCATCTTCTCAGCATCCGACAGTCCCTGGGCACATAGCACTGAGTGTGCTGTCTGTATAGGATCACTGCCCTTTTGCTGGTGTTATCTTCAGATCATTCTTTATGATTATCATCAAATTATTAAAAGGTAGCTTTTTAGGAACTTACATTTTAGGTAAAATGTACTTTTCCCCTATTACATTAGTCTCATTGAATTTTAATCATTATTTTTAGTTATCTTGATCCAGCTTTGAAGAGTAATCATTTCTGTTCTTTAAATTTGTATACCACTTTACTATCACAAAACTCTTTCACAAAGAGTATTTTTTATGCTCATCCCAACAATTCCATGTGGTAGGCAGGACAGATTTGTACTGTTTTGGTTTTAGGTTGTTTTGTTTTCTGTTTTGGGTTGTTTTGTTTTGTTTTAGCATTTTAAGAGAAGGAAAGGCTCAGGGGAGGCTGAGAAAAGTTAAACTCTTGCTCAGAGTGTCATAGCTAGTAAATAGGAAAGTGGGATCTGAACTTGTGTCTTTTTATTTCAAATTCAGTTTTCTTTACTGTACCACACCAGTCACTACCATCTTAGCTGAGACACTTGCCTTTTTTGGGTGAAGACAGCATGTCATCAGCATAATGTCAGCACTCTGTAACCTTTATTTCCTGCATGGCCATACCCTGCTTTTGGGACTGAGAGCCGGCTACGACGTATACCTGTAATAGGAATAAAGATAGAACGTTAATTTCCTTGTAGGTTTCTTGGTTCCTTTACAACTTTTTAAATTTAGCTTGAATTTAGTTTTGTTATGAATTAATTATTCCATTGTTTGTTCACTTGTTCATTTTTAAAAATCTATTAAGCAAATGATTATTGAACATCTCCTTTGTACATCTCAGGCTTAGAATAAGATTGGGACTGAGCCATCACATTATTCACAGTTAGTGAGGGAAACAGATAAGAAATTAATTGTTATAATAGTTAAGACAAAAGTACAGACTTCATCGTGAAATATTTGGACCAAACGTAAGAATCAAACATTAATGCTGCTGACAGATTGGGAGTACAATAGTGTATATGGGAAGCCAGGCTGGGGGGCTGATGCAGGAAATGATAACCAAATTGTTCTCTGTCCTGAGCCAGGTTGAAGGACACATTGAAATAGCCAGGAGTGTTTTGTAGCCTGTTCAGTGCAGGCCTAGGTTGGATTATCAGAACAATGGACTGACCCTTCCCCAAATTTAATTTAAAACATTTAAATCAGATTTTCTACAAAGTTTTCTATTAAAAATTAATAAAAAATTTAAAATAACACAAATATCTATATGTAGAGAGAGATGATTGTGTTTAAATTCATTATTAACATCTGTAATGAGGATGATTTATGGTCACTACAATAAATGCTTTATTCAGAGATGTTTTTGGTCTTGTTCGTGGCTGTGTCTGGCCCAGAATAGGTACTCAATACATCTTTATTGGATTTTAATACATTTAAAGGGATTTAAAAATTAAATATAGATAGATGGCAATGATTGAGTTTGCCACAGAAGTGTTTTTAATATATTCATATGGTTCTGACCTAAGTATCCTATTTTTAAAAATTATAAACTAAGCATTTTTCAAATAGACAAAGAAGCTGATGAATATTTGTATTATTACAAGTTAAATGTGGATTGTTATATAATTATAGAATGTTAAGAATGGAAGAGCTTTACAAATTATCTAGTCCCACCCTAAAATTAATGTAAATAGTTAGATAATATTTTTATATGACTCAAAAATGTTTAAAAAGATATACATTGAAAAAAATCTCACTCCCATCCCATGTCTTTCTACTCCATTCCCTTTCCGGTTCTCTATAGACAGTCACTTTTATTAGTTTCTTATGTATCTTTCCAGGATTTCTTTATGCAAATGCGAGTATATGTTCTCATTTATTCTCTTCCTTCCACAGAAGGTGGCATACTATATACACTACTCTGCATCTCAGTGTTTTTACTTAACAATGCATCTTGGCAATCTTTTCATACCACTACGTAGCTCCCTCTTCTTTTTTTTTTTTTTTTCACAATGCCTATTAGTCTATTATGTGTTGTATCATAGCTTCTTAAATCACCCTTTGTAGGGGAATGATTTATGATAGCCAGTCTTTGGCTATCATAAACAGTGCTGCAAGTGAATAACCTTGTAAATGCATTGTTTCCTCTGTATGCTGATATTATTTATAGGACCAGTTCCCAGTGGTAGGATTGCCAGGTCAACGGAAATGCATTTGTAATTTTGATGGCAAATTTCCTCCATAGCAGTCCCGTCATTTTATAGGTGAGGAAACTGAGGCATTGGTAGTTAAGTCAACCACTGGGAGTGGCAAAGCCAGGACATATATCCAGGAGGCATTTCTAGACCAAGTCTGGGTCAGGTGCCTTTCCTCCATGCCCCTACACTAGCCTATACCTTCCCTGGCAGAGCCTTCATCATAGGTTTTGTAACTGTTGGCTTACTTTCCTGTCTTTCTTCTACACTATAAGTTCTCTGAGTGAGGGCAGGGCCCATGTCTACATGCTCACCATTGTAGGTCTAATACCTAGCACAGGGGCTAGTACAGAGTTGGTGCTTGATAAATATTTGTTGAATAAATGGAGACAAGCGAAGCCTTCTATTCATAGTCCAGTACTCATTATATTCCATCTCACACCTTTACACTCAACGTAAAAAAACAAACAAACAAAAACATACCAGCCAGACAAATAAATGTAGGATATGGAGAGATATCTATTTAGAGCTGTTCATGTGAAAAAGATTTGGGGTATTTAGGGTTCTTATGAAAAGATTTGGTACTCAGCTGTCCAAAAATCTCATGTAAAACAAGGTTTCATTAATGGAAATGCTGTTTCAAGAACAAAGGACGTAATAATTCCGACAGCTGTCTCTGAGGTTTTAAGTAGTATAATCCTGGGTGTTGCATCCTAAGAGGCTTGGAGGTGAAGAAGAGAACCAACAATGGAAGGTGATCAGGCTTGTGAGCAATCTGAATTTCTACCAAGTACTCTCTGTAGTCCAAAATAGACATTAGTGGCCTCTCTTTATAGATGAGAAATCTGAGGACCAGGGAACTTAAATATTTCTAAGAGTCAAACATTAAGTAGTTGAATTTGGATTCAAATCTGGATTAGCTTCAAACCATAGTCTGTCCTCTTACTCCCTGTACTCGTTGTCTTTCCCTACATTGTTCACAATGGGAAAGGGACTCTTAATAGGTCTGGCCAGGCTCCTGTTGGTTCAGGGCTAGATTGGTTTGAATCTAGTAGTCCTCACAACCGAGTGAGCAGGATAGATGGGGCCTAACAGGAAAGTCTTCAGACAAAGCAAAGTTTGAATGGCTGACATCTGTCTAAAATGCCATTGTTTTAAAAAGTGAATTGTGCACGAGTTGTGCAAAGCTTGGAAACCTATTGTCATACATTTAGACCCTCATTTAGAAATAGGAAAGTTACAACAATTTTAGGTATTGTTGATCAGCAAAAAAAAAAAAAACCATATTAAGCTATGGTGGAGAAAATAAAGGACAGCTCTCTCATCTTAGCGGGAGTGAGGTTGAGGGAAGGTACAGAAAGAATATGAGATGTCCTAGGCTTTGGTGTGAGCATGGGGTTGAAGCAAATAATTACCAAATCCTTTCACTTCGATTGTCACTAAACCAGCTCTCCAGTGCTCTTCATAACCATTTCCATATATCTGTGGTTTACATAGTTGCCATTTTTTCAGTAGTATAGAACATTCCATTATGTTAACATGTCATAGTTTTGTCAGCCATTCTCATACTATTAGCTGTTTAAATTCTTCTTCCTTTCCTCTCTTCTTACCCTCCCCCACTCCCTTCCTTCTTCCCTTCCTCCCTCACTCCTTCATTTTCTCTTTTATTTTTTAATAGGGCTGCTGAGAACATCTTGCACTAATTTCTTTCTTCCTTTGGATTATTTCTTTGAACTAATTCCCCAGAGTAGAATTATTGGGCCAAAGGATAAGGAGAGCTTGTTACATATTTTAGGTTGCATTCAGGAAAGATTAGACCAACTTACAGGATTCCCAACAATATGAAAATGTATCTCCATGCTTAATCAAGACTCTGTTTTCTGTGGGTTGGGATAGGCCAAAAACTCTGCCTTGGAAAATAAACCAGTCTGTTAAGTAGGATGGTCAACCTAGGAAGGTGACAGTACTGGATAATGGCAAGGGGTTCAAGCTGGCAGAAAGAGAGATGGGTAATTGACTGAGGACATGAATAAGAGCCATGGGGAACCATAGCTGTAGGGAAACCGTGATGCCTGCCAGCAAAGGACCTGGGGACAGGAAAATAAAATGCAGATTCATTTACCAGAGTATGTAGAAAGTGAGTTCTTGACCATAAGTAACCATACAGGACCCTGGAAATATAACCAGTACCAAAATCTAGGACCAGCTGGAAGGTGGGTGGGCATGTGGGACTAGGAAGCAGAGCTTTGTGTACTCTAACCCTGGCCTAATTGCATTTTTATCATTTTTATTTATTTTTGCTAAGTTAGTAGTTATATAATGATACCTTAAAATGATCTTTAATTACCTTTATCAAGTTGTACATTTTTTCCAGGTTCATCTCTTTGGACCACTTTTTCAAGTAAATCTGGTTATTGACTCTTTTTAATTATATGCAGTGGATGATAACCTTATATCACTTACATTTGTTACATTGAGCTCTTCTGTGCGCTCTGTCCTTTTGATATTTTGTATTATATTTGCTATATTTTTGAGTATAGAAATTTTCTTTTTTTATATTTGAAAATGTCTGTGATAATATTCTACTTTTTTGGCAGTTATAAAGTTCTCTCTCTTCCACAGTTGGAGTGAATATGCTATTCTGTTTTCTTCTACATATATTTTCACTCTCTAGCCTGCACGTATGGTGTGAGCTTAAGGCTCTAACTTACTCGTTGTCTTACTGTTTACTCTCCAGTTGCTCACTAGCACTTTCCCCTCTGTAATCGGATTGCTTCTGGCTTGTCGTGTCCACCCTTTCATCTTTATTTCTGAATTCTATTTTGGGTTTTTTCTATTCCAACTAATACCATATCTTCTTTTAAAATAATTCTTCTTTTGTAACATTTTAAAATTTCGTAGTTTGAAACCACTATCATAACTTTGGTGTTTTTCCTTTGGCATTTTGCCTACTTTTCCAACACATGTTTTAGTACCAATATCAAGTTCTGTAAAATCAGTGTTTTATTAAATCTACATAATAATTTAGGGAATGTTGTCATCTTTACTATATTTAGTTTTCCCAGCATGGAGCAAATAATATTTCTTCATTTATCTGTCTGTCTTTAATTCTGCTGTCAGACTTTATGTCATCTTTGAATAAGTCTCTAATTTTCTGATTTAAATTAATACCCATTTATTGAATTTTTGTCAGAATTATAAATGGGGTCTTTTCTACTGTGTTTTCTGGCTACGGCCCATAGTATATAGGCTTGTAGTAGTTTTAGATGGATTTTTATCCTGCAACTTTGCTGAAGCCATTTAGCTAACACTAGTTATTTTAAGTTGATTTTATTGAGTTCTGTAATCATATAACTTTATAACTTGATGATATAGAGCTATGACATATATCAAATGTATTTTTTCCTTTTTCCCCATGTTTATATTTTTAATTCTTGTTCCTCTCCAATATCTAATTGCCTATTCAGTCAAGTAGCTACCCTTGCTTCCCTATGAACTAGGAAATAAAGGAATCAGCTTACTCCATGAAAGTCGCAGCCAGCACATAAATGGATTAAGGTGTAAACGTGATATTCTCTTTGGGAGATGAAATGGATCCCAAGTGAGCAATATTGGACTTGTTGGAATGTGTTCACATATGTGAAGAAAGAATGTATCAAACCAAAGCTAGGGAAAGAATAAGAAAAAATAATGTTAGAGAATTTGGCAGTAACTATTCCAGCATTATCCAAAATAAAGGATGGTTTCGCCAGTGAATTTTGAATAATGTGAAAGTGGAGGTAAATGCAGAAGGATGAATGTAGATCACAGACTTTAAACTGTCTTGGTATTCCCTTTGGATATACTAACAAGGTTAGGATCTCAGACTCTATTAAAAGGCAGTTCCTCTAACTCCCCTTGTTTTGATCTCTTGTTCACTCAGAAACCCACATAAGCCTTTCTCATAGGAAGATAATACACTGATCTTAGGGGTTTGGAGTATTCATTCCATCCTTGTGACTGTGATTTATTATTACAAAGTAATAAATTGACTTCTTACAGGGAAAGAATGCAGTAACCATACGAACATAGAGAATTTTAGTACCAAATTAATTTTGATAGTAAACTAATGAGTTAGCATTCTGGCTGTATAATGCCACCTTCCCTTGAGCCATGGCTGTGCAATTGGTATGCAGACAGAATTGAGTTTCTGTGCCCAGAAGGCCAAACTCTGTCCACCAAGAACATAAACTGCACACCCCGAGGCCTCTTGGGGAGAACCTGACAACCTGGTTGTAGTGTGTTTGCTTTGCCAAAGGGCTCAGAATGGGTGTTGCAGTTTTCTATAAGCACTTGTTGCATTAACGATATGATTTCTATACTGTCCCTCTTTGCGTGATGAATTATATTGTTTTCCTTGTGTCTAGTTATGCAGTACAAGAACAAAACTCTGCTTGTTCATAGGAAAATTATTTTAATGTGATCTTTTTTTCTATTTACTAGGGTTTTTATTTAGTTATTATAGCCATACTCATAAAAAATCATTGTGCATATCTTGTCTGTTTTTGGAAAATAAGACTATATTTGCCTTATGAGGTAGATTGAAAAGCATAACATTCTTACCTATTTTTGGAAAGTTCCAAAACATTCTCCAACAAACTCATTGGCTATAGGCATCTTTGAAAACAGTAATCCTAATAACATTTCACTCTGTTGTTGTAAGTTGTCCATTCAGGTTTGCTATTTCCCGATACCTCTCTTTTATCCTCTTGTGGTCTTGAATTTTTATCTATTTACATTTAACTACCAAATTTACTAGCATATAATCAGGATTTATAATGCCCTAATTAAAAAAAAATTTCTAACGTATAGTCTTGATTTAATGTGAATTTTTCTGTCTTTTGTGTTGCTGCATGTACTTAGCTTATTTTTACTTTTGCTCTTCATTTTGTTTTTTGTCTTTTCTAATTTTGGTTTGATATTGATTATTTTCTCTTTTTCTAAATTATTTTAGATAGATTTTTAATTGTTTTGATTTTTTCTTTAAGAGGCCTGAGTTTTCTTAAGATGGCTGCCTTGGCCAGGCACAGTGGCTCACACCTGTAGTCCCAGCACTTTGGGAGGCTGGGGGCGGGTGGGGATGCCAATCACTTGAGGTCAGGAGTTCGAGACCAGCCTGGCCAACATGGTAAAACCCCATCTCTATCAAAAACATAAAAAATTAACCGGGTGTGGTGGCGCGTGCCTGTAATCCCAGCTCCTTGGGAGGCTGAAGCAGGAGAATCGCTTGAACCTGGGAGGTGGAGGTTGCAGTGAGACGAGACCGTGCCACTGCACTCCAGCCTGGGTGACAGAGCGAGAGACTCTGTCTCCAAAAAAAAAAAAAAAAAAAAGATGGCTGCCTGACTTTTAAAAGTCACCTAGTTGAAAAACTATGCTTTTGTGTATATGTGTATGCCCGTTCCTGCCGTTGTGAGCAGATTCTTTTGTGTATCGCCTTCTAATCTCCAAACTCAATAAATGATTTCAGTACATGTAACTATTCAAATAATAATATCAGGAAGCACAAACAAGAGACACTGGAAAGGAGACCATGACTAGAAGAGAGAAGTTGCTACTTGTTGAGATTTTGTGCCTGCAGAAGCATAACGACTAGAAAGCTCGATGCCAAATGAAGGGGCAAGTGTGGGCTGTTGGTCCATGAGGCGTAACACTGAATTCAAAGTCAAGGGCATGTATGTGGGCCTGGCCAGGAGCGAGTAGGTTCTAAGGGGGCAGCTGTTGTGGAGGTACTCATTCATCATGGTCAGGAGGAAGAAATTGGTTTTGTACAGACAGGCAAGGATTTGACAACAGAGTTTACATACAGAGAAGGCAACAGATAGGTATCATTTCCAGGGAAGCAGGCAAAGCCCAGTGTCCACAGATAGCAGGGAACAGGTGGGTCAGATAGTCCCAAGATGATCTGGGATAACAGTGCCAATAATGGTGGCTACTATTACTGATACAGCAGTTTTATAACTTCTCATTTTATAGTTGAGGAAATAGACTCATCCAGGTTTTAAATAACTTATCCAGCCAGGTTGACATAGCCAGTAAGCGATGAAGCTATGATTCTCACTAGTCTGTCTAACTCCAAAGTCTGTGATCTTTCTACTCTACCATATTGCCTGATATCTAGCATGCATGGACTCATTCACACATGATTCAAACAGCTGACACAACAGGGTTATGGCTGCCGAACCTATGACAGAGTTTGTCTTTTTTTAGATCTGGTTTTACCATATTTGGTGTGTGTTAACAAGAATGGGCAGGTATATGTTGGCATGTGAAGTGAGACACAGGGCCTCCCAAATTCTTGTCACTGAGATGATGATAATTTTAATGCTCCTCTGCCTAGTTCTCTGCACCCATGTAAGTTATGGAGCAGAGTGAGGGCTGAGATAGAGTCTGTCTTTCCAAGCTGTGAATTACAGGGCCTCACCTGTGGTTGTCCTATCCCCAGTCCATGTGGGGAACCTGCAGACCTCCTAACATGCCCCATATAGTAAGCCATACAGTTGTGTTGATTTTTATCTCACCCTCTTAGAATTTCTACTGTTTGTGCATGTTTTATGATGTTCATAATGTATTAGTACATAGGTTCATCTATATAGCTTATAAATAAATACATATAAACATATTGATAGGAAGCTCACACATTTTTTTATTGCTCTAAGGCAATAGACCCCAAACCTGGATGGGCAGTTCAATCCCCTTGTAAGTTAAAAAATCATATTTCCTTGACTTACCCACACTTACTGAATCATAATCCCCAGGGCAGGGTTCAGGAATGTGTGTTTTTTAACAAATGCTAGAACTTGAACCACTGCAGTAGCTCTCTGTAGTTGCTAGAAAAAAATCTTGGTATCAATTGTTGTAAATAAACCATTGGAAACAAGATAACTCCTATAGTGTTTTGAAGGCTATTTATGAATTGGCTGACTTGTTTATTCGTCATCCCCTGCTGAAAGGTAGGCTCTAAGAGGAGGGCCATTATCTAGCTTGTTCACCAGTTGTTCCTAGAATAGTGCCTGACACGTAGAAGTGCACAGTGAATATTTTTTGAATAAATAAATGAATAATGAAACGCTTTTTCACTGTGCTTGGGTAATACATGTCCCTTTTTCCCTCAATACCAGAGAAAGAATTGGTTTCAGCTGTGCCGTTGTAAATTTGAATGATCTGATAAAAATCCTTGGTTACTCCACTGAACCGACTGCAATTTTTTTAATGTCTAAAACATACTTATTCTCATATTTTGTTACATTTTAATACCATTTAAGAGTAGTAGAATTTGGAAGGTGACATAGAGATCCACTTTTATTTCATTTTCATTTCAAGCCCCTGTGTCTTTAAGGAAAGGGCTAAGCTACAACTTGGTCATTCTCCAGATCCAAGAGGAAATGGATTGGAGCAGTTGTGCCTTTGTAGAGCAGATGTTTTGGTTGGAAAGGCTATCAGCCATCTGACTCATAATAAATTCTCAATTCCAGTAAATTCCCAGTTTTCAGTTACAGTAGGTAGGATGCAGGAAAACAGTGTCTTCCACTTTGGGGTCTTTGAACTTATTTCACATGTTACCACTGTTCCTTGTGCATTACAATGTGCGAACAGACAAAATACTAGGGGAGGTTAGAGCAATTCCAGGAATAGACTCAGTCAGTTGGTGTTTTTGAGAGAGACCATTGGAGGTAAACCAAAGCCACTGCCCTCTCTGACACAGTACTAACCACAAGAAACATAACTGCATTGAGTTTTCTTATAAGTTCCTATGTTAAAATAATGATTTTATATAGGAATCATGTAATAAAATAATGATTTTACAAACTGAATTATGTCAGTTTGAGTAATCTATAAACGGCCTATAGTTTTTTGTTTTGTTTTATGAGGAGGGTTTCCTTTATCCTTTTCATAAAATGCTGAAAGTAATTATATGGTCCTGATGTGATATCTTTCATTTTAGAGTATTTGTTTTTTGGGAAAATTTACTCAATACTTGAACTTATTGAGTAAAAAAAAAAAAAAATTTACTCAGTAAGCTTCTCAAAGTTCTAGTAAGGCCTTATAGCCAGTGTTCCAGATGGATGAAGCAGAATTATGAAAGTGATATTCAACGTGTCCTACTTTGTATTGTGAGCTGAGTTGAGAGAATTCATTATTTACTTAGTATTTTTGTTTTGTTTTGTTTTGTTTTGTTTTTTAGACAGGTTCTTGATCCTGGCTCAGGCTGGAGTACAGTGGTGTGATCACATATCACTAGAGCCACAATCTCCTGGGTTCAATTGATCCTGCCATCTTAGCCTAGTAGCTGACACTATAGACACATGCCACCATGCTCGGCTAATTTTTGTATTTTTTGTGGAGATGGGGTTTTGCCATGTTGCCCAGGCTGGCCTCGAACTCCAGGGTTCAATCCATCCTCCCATCTCAGCCTCCCAAAGTGTTGGGATGACAGGCGTGAGCCACTGCACCTGGCATAAAGTGGTGTCTTATTATCCCCACTCTGTTTTTATCGAGGAGTCAGTTTCTTTTCAACCATCACTGAAGTGGGAAGAATAGTGTACTCCTCACAGAGATGAAAAGGTCCCATTGTTTCTCCAGAGAGCAACAGTCCCATTTCTGCTCTTTATGAGAGCTTCTTAGGTGATCTCTTCTACCAAGTGAGACATTAGAAATTTGGGAGTCAGCAGTTTAGTTGTCCAGAACTCCTAATAGTTCCTAGGTTGGCCTTTGGCTTTTCTTATCCAACATCAAATTATTCACAGATCGTACTGTTTATCTTTATACTCCTCCTATGTCATTTTTTCTTTCCAGTTTTAGCTAAGTGGTTATCATAAACTCAATAAACTCATTTTTTTAACCCTTATATTCTGAGGCACATTTGTAAATCTTTAGAATTGCTAATTAATTCAAGATGGATTAAAGACTTAAATGTTAGACCTAAAACCATAAAAACCCTGGAAGAAAACCTAGGCAATACCATTCAGGACATAGGCATGGGCAAGGACTTCATGACTAAAACACCAAAAGCAATGGCAACAAAAGCCAAAATTGACAAATGGGATCTAATTAAACTGAAGAGCTTCTGCACAGCAAAAGAAACTACCATCAGAGTGAACAGGCAACCTACAGAATGGGAGAAAATTTTTGCAATCTACTCTTTTGACAAAGGGCTAATATCCAGAATCTACAAAGAACTCAAATTTACAAGAAAAAAACAAACAACCCCATCAAAAAGTGGGCGAAGGATATGAACAGACACTTCTCAAAAGAAGACATTTATGCAGCCAAAAAACACATGAAAAAATGCTCACCATCACTGGCCATCAGAGAAATGTAAATCAAAACCACAATGAGATACCATCTCACGCCAGTTAGAATGGTGATCATTAAAAAGTCAGGAAACAACAGGTGCTGGAGAGGATGTGGAGAAATAGGAACACTTTTACACTGTTGGTGGGACTGTAAACTAGTTCAACCATTGTGGAAGACAGTGTGGCGATTCCTTAGGGATCTAGAACTAGAAATACCATTTGACCCAGCCATCCCATTACTGGGTATATACCCAAAGGATTATAAATCATGCTGCTATAAAGACACATGCACACGTATGTTTATTGTGGCACTATTCACAATAGCAAAGACTTGGAACCAACCCAAATGTCCATCAATGATAGACTGGATTAAGAAAATTTGGCACTTATACACCATGGAATACTGTGCAGCCATAAAAAATGATGAGTTCATGTCCTTTGTAGGGACATGGATGAAGCTGGAAACCGTCCTTCTCAGCAAACTATCACAAGGACAAAAAACCAAACACTGCATGTTCTCACTCATAGGTGGGAATTGAACAATGAGAACACTTGGACACAGGAAGGGGAACATCACACATCGGGGCCTGTTGTGGGGTGGGGGGATGGGGGAGGGATAGCATTAGGGGATATACCTAATGTAAATGACGAGTTAATGGGTGCAGCACACCAACATGGCACATGTATACATATGTAACAAACCTGCACATTGTGCGCATGTACCCTAGAACTTAAAGTATAATAAAACATAATAATAATAAAGTAAATTCAGTTTGTGATGTCAAAAAAAAAAGTATTGCTTTAGCATCTCTTCAATGAGGAAAAAGGTAGATTAAATAATGTCCCTGGACTTACCCACTGATGAAAACTAGTATGTGAGAGAGTCCTAGTAAGAGGGAAGAGGCAGAAGATACTGACTGTGGTATGAAGAAGAGAAGGCAGAAATACTTCTCTGAGAACTTGCCTCATTCATCTTTGTCTCTCCCACAATGAAGAGCGTGGTGCCATGGACCTAGGGAGCTACTGGATTGCAGTGGGAAAAGCACAGGCCATGAGTTGAAAAACTTAAGTTTTTTTTCTAGTGCTCTGTTTACTAGAGGAAGATCCTGAACATTTTGCTTAATCTCCTTGAGAAAAGTTCAAATCTTCAAAATAGAAATAATAACAGTATTTATCTTCAAGCGTTGTTGGCGATGTATGTTAAGGTACGATGCATAGCACCCAGACAGAAATAAGCCTTATTAAGCAATTTCAGTAAGAAGCATTGCTGACTTAGGTTTGACTACTTTGGGCCTCAAATCTTGACTCCAGGATCCAGTGGAGATTATTCCAGGTAGACTTCTTTGACCAAGCATGGTGAGATTCTTTAATTTGGGAAAAATAGTTATATTTGGGGGAATTATACATAATTTATCATGCAACTTAGTATAAATATGTACCATAAAACTTGAAAGCATGTGCAATGGGTTTCTAATTTAAAATTCCAGCTCCTGTCTTTTTTTTTTTTTGGTCCTCTTTTAATTCTTTCCTTTAAAAGAAAATTTCAAACGATCTCAAATTTATAATAGAAATGTAAGAACAATAAAAGCACTTTTAAAAAACCATTTGAGACTAAGTTGCTGGTGTGATGGCCTTCACCTCCAAATACTTTAGTATGTATTTCTTAGAAATAAAGGCATTCTCTTACATATTAATAATTGCAATATGGTAAAAAAAAAATCAGGAAATTAACATGGCATACTACTACCATCCAATTCTAAGATCCCATTCAAATTTCACTTATATTGTCCCAATGATTTCTTTGTAGCAGAAGAATTCAGTTTAGTTTTAAATCATTTATCATCATTGTTATTTTTTGTAAGAGATGAGGTGTTGCTGTAGCCCAGGCTGGTCTTGAACTCCTGAGCTCAAGCGCTCCTCCCACCTCAGCCTCCCCTGGCATGACCTACCATGCCTGGTTCAGAATTCAGTTTAGAATCATGTGTGATTTTAGTTGTTTCACTAGTGTGTAATAGTTCCTCAGTTTGTCCTTGACATTTACAACATTTTTGAAGATTATAGGCCAGTTATGTTATATAATTTCTCTCAATTTGGATTTGTCTGATGTTCACTCATGATTAGATCCATTTATGCATCTGTGGCAGGAATATCACAGAGGTGATGTTATATATTTTCATGCCTTCTCTCAAGTGGCAGAGGATATCTGTTTGACTCATTACTGTTGATGTGTTCACACTGATCACTTTAAAGGCAGTGTCTGTTGGGGTTTCCACTGTAAAGTTACTTTTTTCCCCTTTGTCATTGGTATTTTGGGAAGGTCCTTTGAAACCACCCAAATATCCTATTTTTTATCAAGCTTTCAATTTATTTAGCATGGACTCATTAATTTCTAGTTCATTTAATGGATTATAGTCAGTTACTGTCATTATTTTGATGCTCAATATTACTTCTGTATATCTACCCAAATATGTTAAACAACCATTTTCATACTGATACCTCCAATTCCAATTCAACACACTGGGTTCATTCTGTTTTTCTCTTTATGCATATTTGTAACTTCCTTCTCTGAAAGTGATAAATCTAGTTCACATTATCCTTAATATGTTACTGTAACATAATATATAGGTTACACACATATATATTATATCCATCCCCCTTTATGTAACCAACTTGCTACTGTTGCTCCTGCCCCCTCCCTTGGGTGTGCACTCCCTTCACTCTGCCTGGGCTCTGACACCCTGCACCAAGTTGCTTCTCTATGTGAACATCTTTCTTCCTCTCCTCTGGACCACTCTAGAGCTCCCTCTTCCACCATGCATTCAACCCTTGTCCTTCTTGAATCCAGCCTTCCAAAGCTCGTAGAATACTGTAAAACAGTCTGATTATGTCATTACTCACTTTGTAATCCCTTTCCACATTGCCCTTAAAATAAAACAAGTTCCTTAACTAAAATGCATTAAGGCTGTTTACGCTCTGGCCCTTAAATGTGTTCAGCTTTGTCTTTCACCCTTCTCACCAGTATCCAGTATTTCATCCTTCCTGAACAGTCCCTTGAATGTACCATGTGCCCTTCTACTTCAGTGACTTTCCGTGTGCTGTCATCTCTTCCATCCACCCCCTTATCCTTTTTACTCCCTTGGATCATTTGGATTCCTTCCAACTAGGACCATTACCTCTTCCTTGAAAAGCCTCATGTGATGCCCAGTCGTGCCCTCTCTTGCATCCTTCCTTTGTCCGGCTGCAGGTGCACATCTCTCTTATCATATGCCTTTATTGTAACAATTTCAGCCTAATGAATAGTTTAGTTGTTTATTTTTCCCACTAGACTGTGAAGATTTTGAGGGCGTAGATCCTTAGTGCCTTTAGGTGTTGCCCAACACATAGTGGGGCATTAATACATGTTTGTTGAATGAATTCTGTATTAATGAATCCTGAGGCTGGCCCCAAACTTATACTCAGTATAGCAGGAAAATGGAATTGAAGACAGGAGAAAAGAAAAAGAATCAGCAACATCCATTGCCCATGCTGCATAGGCAGTAGTGGGTCCAGCCTTGGTTTATCTGAGGGGAAAGTCCAGTTTATTTTATTGGAGCATTAGGAGGATTATTTTGCTGTTCCGTTTTTTTTTTAAACATAGTTTTGTTTGTTTTTATGTTTGTTTATTTTTTAACATAGTTTGTGAAGCCTGCTTTGTACTGTTTTACAGGTTTTCACATATATATATATGGCAACATTTGATTTAGCAGTAGACCCAAGAAACCTAGCTTAAAGGCCCAACCTAGTCTGCTATCTTAATTGCATTCTTTCTTGCCTATTTAGTATAAAATTTTTTGAGAACTTGTCTCATTCAAGTTGAATCATTCCAATGTGAACTAGAAATGTTAAGCTGTTAATAGCTTCCCTGGAGAATTGCAACTTGCTAGGATGCTTCAATACTTTCATCATCATTTATGCATCGTGAAATGTCACAATTTCTGTTCATAAGCACGAAACTATAAATGTTCATCAATTGGTCTATCTTAAACCTGTTATTAGTTTAGAAATTAAAGAAATATTCTTACTAACCCAAGCCAGTGATAAAGTCTGACTGAATTTATGGTTCTTCTAAATCTGTTCATCAGCACTTCTATAATTAGTAAAGTTCTAACAAAGCCACCTACTCAATAGTTATGCTAAGTCCAACATTTATAGTTTTTCATTTAGGGAGCTATTAATATAATATGTTCTTCCTTTTATGAATATTTCTATTCTTCATAACTCAGTGTAGAGACACTTTTGATCTCTCTTCCTCTTTGGGATCTTGCATTTCCTTTTTTATTCACACAGACCTCATTTAGTAAGTGACAAAGAATTTTCAAAGCAAATTTGGATATAGCAGAATGATGTCGTGAAAAAAAAACATTGATGCAGGAATCAGCAGTCATGGGTTTTGGTTTCATCTCTGTATCTAATTAGCTCTACATATTGGACAGATAACTTCCGTTATCTCAGTTCTGGAAGTTATCTCAGTTTCTCCCTTCGTAAATTTGTGAAATTTTGGTGTTGAAATCAAGAGTTACAAACTTTACTTTTTAATATACTAGAAATATTTTTACAAATGAATCTTTCTCCTGCAATGATTATATAAAACAGAATAGTAGCCACTACAGCTGACCAGGGGAGGAAGGGCTGACATGGGGACCAAGGGCTTACACAGGGACCATTTGGTTTCCCCTTTGCTGCTCTAAAGACACATACTCTTTTTTTTTTTTTTTTTTTTTTGAGACAGAGTCTCACTCTGTCGCCCAGGCTGGAGTGCAGTGATGTGATCTTGGCTCACCGCAAGCTCCACCTCCTGGGTTCATGCCATTCTCCTGCCTCAGCTTCCCAAGTAGCTGGGACTACAGGCGCCCGCCACCATGCCCGGCTAATTTTTTGTATTTTTAGTAGAGACAGGGTTTCACCTTGTTAGCCAGGATGGTCTTGATCTCTTGACCTCGTGATCTGCCCACCTTGGCCTCCCAAAGTGCTGGGATTACAGGTGTGAGCCACCGCACCCTGCCAAGACACATACTCTTAAGGTACATTTGATCCCTACTTCTCACAACATAGGCTGTCAACCGCTGAATCAGATGTCTAAGGTCCTTTTTACCTTTAACATTTTCTGATTTTCTTTACTCCTGATCCCTGGTTATACCATTATACCAATGGCACAGCTTCACTGATATCACTGACCCAAAGGGGATAGTCTCGCCCATGCCAGCTCTCTCCACCTGACGCCTTTCTCTGGCTCATCCGGGGTATATGGACGTGACCAGTATGAAAAGTATTTGAGAAGTACCTTGTTGTACTTTTCAGTTTCTACTATGATTCTTCCTCCCTTTTATCCAAGTTTTTGGAATATGCCATAGGTGCTTATTCTCTTTTCTTTATTTTTTTTATTGTGGTAAAATATATATAACATAAAAACCATCTTAACCATTTTTTAGTTACAGTTCAGTGATATTAGGTACATTGATAATAATGTTGTGCGACCATCATGACATCCGTTTCTGTAACTTTCTCACTTTCTCATTTTATAAAACTAAAACTCTAAACCTGTTAAAGAAATCATCCCCCTGGAAACCACCATTCCACTTTCTGTCACTGCGATTTTGACTACTCTCAAACTTCAGATAAGTGGAATTGTGCAGTACTGTTTGTCTTTTTTGTGACTGGCTAATTTAGTTAGTATAATGTCCTCGAGGTTCATCCACGTTGTAGGATGTCAGAATTTTCTTTTTTTGTAAGGCTGGATAATATTCCATATATGTGTACATATATACCATGTTTTGCTTTTCCATTCATCTGTTGATGGACACTTGGGTTGCTTCTACTTTTTAGCTAATGTGAATAATGCTATTATAAACACAGGTGTGGCTGGGTGTGGTGGCAGATGCCTGTAATCCCAGCACTTTGGGAGGCCAAGGTGGGCAGATTACCTGAGGTCAGGAGTTCGAGACTAGCCTGGCCAACAAGGCGAAACCCCATCTCTACTAAAAATGCAAAAATTAGCCAGGCATGGTGGCAGGTGCCTGTAATCCCAGCTACTCGAGAGGCTGAGGCAGGAGAATCACTTGAACCCGGGAAGTGGAGGTTGCAGTGAGCCGAGATTGCGCCATTGCACTCCAGCCTGGGTGACAGAGCGAGACTCCATCTCAAAAAAAAATAAATAAATAAAATAAAATAAAATAAAAAAACACAGGTGTGCAGATAGCTCTTTAGGATCCTGTTTTCAGTTATTTTGGAGTATCTATTCAGAAGTGGTATTGCTGGATAGTATGGTGATTCCGTTTTTAACTTTTTGAGAAACTGCCGTACTGTTTTCCATAGCAGCGATCCCATTTTACACTACCCCCAACAGTGCACAAGTGCTCCAGTTTCTTGACATTCTCGCCAACACTTGCTATTATTTTGGATAGTAGCCATCCTAATGGATTTGAGGTGATATCTTATTGTAGTTTTGATTTATGTTGAACATCTTTTCATATGCTTATTGGCTGTTTCTTTTTTTTTTTTTTTTGAGATGGAATCTCGCTTTGTCACCCAGGCTGGAGTGCAGTGGGGCAATCTCGGCTCACTGCAACCTCCGCCTCCTGGGTTCAAGCAGTTCTCCTGCCTCAGCCTCCCAAGTATCTGGGATTACAGGCCTGCACCACCACGCCTGGCTATTTTTTTTTTTTTTTGTATTTTTTTTTTAGTAGAGATGGGGTTTCACCATTTTGGCCAGGCTGGTCTCGAACCCCTGACCTTGCAATCCACCCACCTTGGCCTCCCAAAATTCTGGGATTACAGGTATGAGCCATCACACCCAGCCGGCTGTTTCTATATCTTCTTTGGAGAAATGTCTATTCAAGTTCTTTGCCCGTTTTTGAATTGAGGTTGTTTGGTTTTTTTGTTACTGAGTTTAGTAATTCTCTGTATATTCTGGATATTAATCCCTTATCAGATATATAATTTGACAATATTTTCTCCCATTTCATAGTTTGCCTTATTGGTATTTGTCTTTTTATGCAAATAGTTTTAAAATTTTCATGAAGTACAATTTGTCTACTTTTTTATCACTTGTATACTTATTCTTAAATCCTAAACTTTGTGTAAAATATCTTCCACTCTCCTAGACCAGTGAAACATCATAGTTCATCTGTGTTCTCCTGTTTAATCATAGGATAATACTTCAGTGTGTTGCTTTTCAGTTCTTTTTTTCATCTTTGGACCCGTTTTCTTTTTCTTAATTGTCAGTCCTCTAAGCCAGTGCTTCTTAAACTTCAGTGCACATACAAATAACCTAGGAATTTGTTAAAATATCCCCCAGGTGTAGCTGATGCTGTTGCTTTGGGTAGCAAGGCTCTAAATGAAGTCATCCGCTCATCCAGGCTTCAGCTGCCTACTGTTCACAAGTTCATGCTACACCCTCATTTGGGTGCTGATACTGGTCCTCCTGTCTCTACACATTTTGAGCTAGATGTTCTGAAAACCGGAAGAGGTAGAATGATGTCCACTGAAAAACATCCATAGCTTACTATTTAGCATTATGCAGTCTGGGAAAGCCAGAGCCTCTTTCCTCACCTTTTACCACTTCTAGAAGATGTTCATACTTTTTCTTGAGATACCCATTACTCTTTCTTTCTTTCTTTCTTTCTTTCTTTCTTTCTTTCTTTCTTTCTTTCTTTCTTTCTTTCTTTACCTCCCTCCCTCCCTCCCTCCCTCCCTCCCTCCCTCCCTCCCTCCCTCCCTTCCTTCCTTCCTTCCTTCCTTCCTTCCTTTAAGTTCTGGGATTCATGTGCAGAATGTGCAGGTTTGTTACATAGGTATACATGTGCCATGCTGGTTTGCTGTACCCACCAACCTGTCATCTACATTAGGTATTTCTCCTAATGCTATCCCTCCCCTAGCCCCCTACCCCCTGACAGGCCCTGGTGTGTGATGTTCCCCTTCTTGTGTCCATGTGTTCTCATTCTTCAACTCCCACTTATGAGTGAGAACATGCGGTGTTTGGTTTTCTGTTCTTGTGTTAGTTTGCTGAGAATGGTGGTTTCCAGCATCATCCATGTCCCTGCAAAGGACATGAACTCATCCTTTTTTATGACTGGATAGTATTCTATGATGTATATATGCCATATTTTCTTTTTCCAGGCTATCATTGATGGGCATTTGGGTTGGCTCCAAGTCTTTGCTATTGTGAATAGTGCTGCAATAAACATATGTGTGCATGTGTCTTTATAGTAAAATGATTTATAATCCTTTGGGTATATACCCAGTAATGGGATTGCTGGGTCAAATGGTATTTCTAGTTCTAGATCCTTGAGGAATCGCCACACTGTCTTCCACAATGGTTGAACTAATTTACACTCTCAACAGTGTAAAAGTGTTCGTATTTCTCCACATCCTTGCCAGCATCTGTTGTTTCCTGACTTTTTAATGATTGCCATTCTAACTGGCATGAGATGGTATCTCATTGTGGCTTTGATTTGCATTTCTCTAATGACCGGTGATGATGAGCTTTTTTCATGTTTGTTGGCCACATAAATGTCTTCTTTTGAAAAGTGTCTGTTCATATCCTTTGCCCACTTTTTGATGGGGTTGTTTGTTATTTTCTTGTAAATTTGTTTGAGTTCCTTGTAGATTCTGGATATTAGCTCTTTGTCAGATGGATAGATTGCAAAAATTTTCTCCCATTCTGTAGGTTGCCTGTTCACTCTGATGATAGTTTCTTTTGCTGTGCAGAAGCTCTTTAGTTTAATTAGATCCCATTTGTCAAATTTGTCTTTTGTTGCCATTGCTTTTGGCGTTTTAGTCATGAAGTCTTTGCCCATGCCTGTGTCCTGATGGATTAAATCTTTAATCCATCTTGAGTTGATTTTTGTATAAGGTGTAAGGAAGGGTTCAATTTCAGTTTTCTGCATAAGGATAGCCAGTTTTCCCAACGCTATGCAATAGGGAATCTTTTCCCCATTGCTTGTTTTTGTCAGGTTTGTCAAAGATCAGATGATTGTAGATGTGTGGTGTTATTTCTGAGGTCTCTGTTCTGTTCCATTGGTCTGTATATCTATTTTGGTACCAGTACCATGCTGTTTTGGTTGCTGTAGCCTGGTAGTGTAGTTTGAAGTCAGGTAGCGTGATGCCTCCAGCTCTGTTCTTTTTGCTTAGAATTGTCTTGGCTCTATGGGCTCTTTTTTGGTTCCATATGAAATTTAAGGTAGTTTTTTCTAATTCTGTGAAGAAAGTCAATTGTAGCTTGATGGGAATAGCATTGAATCTATGAATTACTTTGGGCAGTAGGGCCATTTTTACGATATTGATTCTTCCTATCTATGAGCATGGAATGTTTTTCCATTTGTTTGTGTCCTCTCTTATTTTCTTGAGCAATGGTTTGTAGTTCTTGAAGAGATCCTTCACATCCCTTGTAAGTTGTATTCCTAGGTATTTTATTCTCTTTGTAGCAGTTGTGAATGGGAGTACACTCATGATTTGGCTCCCTGTTTGCTTATGATTGGTGTGTATAGGAATGCTTGTGATTTTTGCATGCAATAAACTGGATATTGATGGAATGTATCTCAAAATAATAAGAGCTATTTATGATAAACACAAAGCCAATATCACACTGAATGGGCAAAAGCTGGCAGCATTCCCTTTGAAAACTAGCACAAGACAAGGATGTACTCTCTCACCACTTCTGTTCAACATAATATTGGAAGTTCTGGCCAGGGCAATCAGGCAAGAGAAAGAAATAAAGAGTATTCAAACAGGAAGAGAGGAAGTCAAATTACCTCTGTTTGCAGATGACATGATTGGATATTTAGAAAACCCATCGTCTCAGCCCCAAAACTCCTTAAGCTGATAAGCGACTCTAGCAAAGTCTCAGCATACTCTCTTGCTTTCTTTATCTCTTTTCTTTTAAAAGCATAATGTCAGAAAAGAGTCTAACGAATTCATTCTCGGTATATAGAAACAACTGAGGAGTTCTTCATCCTTTCCTCATAGGGCTCTTGATAATTAATCACGTATTACCTTGTAGGATCTCCTATTGAAGAAGAAGGAAGAAACTTCTCTCATTTTCATGTGTTTATATTGACCTCTTTGAGGAGTGGGACTGATTCTTACAATCCTTCTGTTTTTCTTTATTATGCTTGTCACAATGCCTTACACGTGGTTGGCAAATCATGAGTGTTGACTCAGTGAACACCATATAATGTGTTGTTTAGAAGTTTATTGGCTCTAGTTTTAGGAGATCCGATTATGGTTAGACATGGCAAAAAGATTGCTCTTGTTTTTCTGCACTCTAGGGTTTGATCATTCAGTTAAGTGTACAGATCCAAATTTTCCTCCTATTCCAAGGCATGATCTAAACCTGGGGAGAAATGGCCTATTCTGCCCAAACTTATACCAACTGATTTACATTGGAAAGTCAAGTTAATAATTTCAATAGATTTCTGTTGTGTCTACTAAGGAAGTCTGCTTTTGAAACCCAGTTTTGAAACAGTAATTTACTGGCAAATATATGTAGTCATTCATATACACATTCATACATTTGTTTTTCAGATATTTATTGGGTGCCTGTTTTTGTGGTAAGCACCATACTGGACACCAAATACAAAATATGAAACAAATACAAAATGAATATATTAATTCATTTTGTATACAAAAATGAATGAAACAGTCATTGCTCTTAAGGAACCCAATCAGATAAATGATAACACATATGTAAATAACTTTAAAACACACACACACACACACACACACACACACACACACACACACAAACCAATCAAATACTATCATATTTGGGTGAACCTAAAAACCTGTAGGATTTTAGAGGAGAGACCATTACATGAGCTGGTAGGATAAAGGAAGTCTCATGAGAGGATATGACTTCTAAATTGAACTTAAAAGAGTAGGTTCACTATAATCCCTGCACTTTGGGAGGCCAAGGCGGGCGGATCACGAGGTCAGGAGATCGAGACCATCCTGGCTAACACGATGAAACCCTGTCTCTACTAAAAATACAAAAAATTATCCAGGCGTGGTGGCGGGCGCCTGTAGTCCCAGCTACTCGGGAGGCGGAGGCAGGAGAATGGCATGAACCTGGGAGGCAGAGCTTGCAGTGAGCCAAGATCGTGCCACTGCACTCCAGCCTGGTGGACAGAGCAAGAATCGTCTCAAAAAATAAATAAATAAAAATAAATAAATAGATAAATAAAAAAAAGAGTAGGTCCAATTTGGAGATTTGGGGTTGGGGGATGTAGACCGGGGAGAAGGCGTCCAGGATTGAGTGGCAGAGCAGAGACCTGATGGAGTGATGACATGGAGTGTGGGAACCTGCAGTAGTTAGGATGTATCAGCAGGGTGGTAGAAAAATGAAATTGGGAGGCCGGGCATGGTGGCTCATGCCTGTAATCCCAGCACTTTGGGATGCCGAGGTGGGTGGATCACCTGAGGTCGGGAGTTCGAGACCAGCCTGACCAACACGAAGAAACCACCTCTCTACTAAAAATACAAAAATTAGCTGGGCATGGTGGTGTATGCCTGTAAACCCAGCTACTCGGGAGGCTGAGGCAGGAGAATCGCTTGAACCTGGGAGGCGGAGGTTGCAGTGAGCCAAGATCACACCATTGCACTCCAGCCTGGGCAACGAGAGCGAAACTCCGTCTCAAAAAAAAAAAAAGAAATTGGGAAGACACCTTGGAGGAGCTTAAATGTCAGGCTAATGTAGATGGAGGAGGGCTTTTGAGGCTGGGAGAAATATATGGTATTTACACTGGTTCTCAGAGCTCATTTTCTGTACAGGGCCTTCCCATAGACAGTTCCAGAGGGATATGGCTCCAGGCCTCTCTTTTTCAACTCTAAGCTGCCCTTTAGGTTCTACAGATAACAATATGCAAATCAAAAGACCTCTGATCACGTCAAGGGGAGACTCTCTAGTGGGCTCCATTCTCTAACGCTTGTGGTTTGTGATGGTCTCCAGTTAATGAGCATGTGCTGCCAGGTATCTGAAATAACTTGGAAATAACCAATTGCTTAGTTGCCATGGGCACAGACAGTCTGAGCCAAGTGACCTGCTGGCTGGGTGGGTAGGAACAAAGGTGTTATTAGCTTCTAGGGTGGCTTTCCCTTCTGTCTTCACTCACAGAGCCACCTGGGAAGAATCGCTAAACTCCAGAATTCACAGCAACCTGGAGAGGAGAGGACAGGGTGTAGCTTTAATAGCAGGAAGAATAGCATGGTTTTGAAAAGGATATCAGACCAAGAGTCTGAAAGAAATAAGGCAAGTGAAACTAACTTATTGAGCACCTTCCTCATGCCTGGATCTTGCTGGGCACTTCCACGTACATTTGCAAAAGCTGTGTAAACCTTTTTGCTTCTCCAAATACCCACATTTAGCATGTCATATGGAAAAAAAATGAAAGCATGTGATCTCTTTGACAAAAATTTTGTCTATAGCTAGAAGATCATCATATTCGTGTAGTTGTTGCATGATAAACTGGCAAAACATTTCATGTATTCAAATGGCATACTCCTATGGATTTTCTGCCTTTAGCATTGGCACCTCTGATACCTTTTCCTTCATTGATTGAAGAGGAGCAGTGAGTGCAAGGTGTTCTAAGGCCCAGGATGTGTTACTGTGCTGTTTTAAGTCCACCAAGATGAGAGGCAGCAAGTCCAGAGAACTAGCCTAGCTATAGCCAGAGCCTGGTACTGCAGGCAGATTGCTCTAGCAAAGCTTTCCTCTGGCAGGTAAGGAGGCATGCAGCTTATCTGTGTCCTCAGAGCCCTTTGAGGTTCTGATGAAGGCCCAGCATTCCACACTGTGTAGTAAGTATTCAAATAACCCAGAGATGAAAGCCCTTTTTAGCACTTAATTCTGTAGAGTTTGATTTACCGTGGTGTCATCTGTGTTCGTTTAATAATTTACCAGAGAAAATGTTGGTTATAAGTGAAGGAAAACCACTTCAAACCAGCTTAGGCATATAGTGCAATTTATTAGCTTTCCAAAGCTAGGAGCAGATTGAATAGTCAAACCACAGTAAGAGCAGGGACACAGCTGCACCAAGACCCACAGGAACTAAGGGTGTGGATGCTGCCTGGACTCTCTCCTCTCTTGCCTGCACTTCTCCCAGCAGGTTGGCTTTATTCTCTCCCACCACAGCCTGGTCTCTTCTATATATGGGAAATATGGCAGCTCACCATTTCTTCTGCATCTGCAGAGACTGGCCTACATTTAGTCACAAATCTTGAAGAAAGGACCAGCCTTTTCCTAGACCCATCAGCTGTTCCCAGGTATTAGGACAGGAAGCTCTTTGAGGGGCTTTACGGATTGGGGCCTGGGGGTGGGGTCTAGAAGAGAGAGAAGCTTCCTGAGAGAGGAGAGGGTATCAGGCAAGCAATATCACATATGTCCACTATATCAACTGCAACTTTAAATCTTCCTATCCATTAAAAGAGCCACCTAAACGATTTAAGTGAATACATCTTCTACCTTTTCTTTAAGTTATGGAGACGTATTAAGGATGTGGTAAATGGTATTCATGTCTGTTTCATATGTGCTTAAATAAAAACTCACTATTGTTTAAACTTGTTGGGCTCTTGGATTAAAGTCTGGCACAAGGTTTTTATCAGCAGGAATGCATAACATCACAACTCAGAGAAACTCAAAGATGTAGTTCAATATGATTCGTAAAACAGTTGCAAAAATTGTAAATAGTGCTGCAGTAAACCTATGTATGCATGTGTCTTTATAGTAGAATGATTTATATTCCTTTGGGTATATACCCAGTAATGGGATTGCTGGGTCAAATGGTATCTCTGGTTCCAGATCCTTGAGGAATTGCCATGCTGTCTCCCACAATGGTTGAACTAATTTACATTCCCATCAACAGTGTAAAGCGTTCCTGTTTCTCCACAACCTCGCCAGCATCTGTTGTTTCCTGACTTCTTAATAATTGCCATTCTGACTGGCATGAGATGGTATCTCACTGTGGTTTTGATTTGCATTTCTCTGATGACCAGTGATGTTGAGCTCTTTTTCATATGTTTGTTGGCCAAACAAATGCCTTCTTTTGAGAAGTGTCTGTTCATATCCTTTGCCCACTTTTTGATAGGGTTGTTTGTTTTTTTTCTTGTAAATATGTTTAAGTTCCTTGTAAACTCTGGATATTAGCCCTTTGTCAGATAGGTAGATTTCAAAAATTTTCTCCCATTCTGTAGGTTGCCTGTTCACTCCAACGATACTTTCTTTTGCTGTGTAGAAGCTCTTTAGTTTAATTAAATCCCATTTGTCAATTTTCAATTTTGGCTTTTGTTGCAATTGCTTTTGGCATTTTTGTCATGAAGCTTTTGCCCATATGTCCTGAATGGTATTGTCTAGGTTTTCTTCTAGGGTTTTTATGGTTTTGGGTTTTACATTTAAGTTGTTAATCCATCTTGAGTTAATTTTTGTATAAGGTGTAAGGAAGGGGTCCAGTTTCAGTTTTGTGCATATGGCTAGCCTGTTTTCCCAGCAACATACTGAATAGGAGATCCTTTCCCCATTACATGTTTTTGTCAGGTTTGTCGAAGATCAGATGGTTGTAGATGTGTGGTGTTATTTCTGAGGTGTCTATTCTGCTCCATTGGTCTGTATGTCTGTTTTGGTACCAGTACTATGCTGTTTTGGTTACTGTAGCCTTGTAGTATAGGTTGGAGTCACGTAGCATGATGCCTCCAGCTTTGTTCTTTTTGCTTAGGATTGTCTTGGCAAAAATTGATACTTTAAGTAAGCCCAGAGGAAGCTTATCAAATGTATTAAGAGCACACTTAGGGCAGTAGGGGAAACTCCACACTCCAGATTCTTTCTCTAAAAACTTTTATGAGTAGAGAAGTTGGCAGAAGCCAGGAAGCATCATTTGCTTCCAGTGAGGACCCTGGCTATACTACAAAGGATTCCCCTCACCCAACCTCTCTGGCCTCCAGAGTAGGGGCTCCATTTCACACACCTTTTAGATTAATGTGTGACTATTCAAAAGCTGGTGATTCTCAAGGCTGTGTCTGTTGGGTATAATAACTGATTGGACAGTATTTGGCCAACAAAATCTTGATCATCATTATTTTCAAAGAGCCAGGATTTTCCTCCCTAAAGTTTGTTTGTATGACATGTGTTTCAATTTAGTTTTATAAACAGTAGCTATAACCAATATATTAAGGATAAGTACAGCTTCACAAACATATTCCTGCATAAATAAGAGCAGTCAAATCATCTTTGTTTATGAAAATAATAAGCAAGATAGAATTAAAAAAAAACTTACCCTATTCTGTATTGTGACATCTAGTAGTAATGAGCTCAAAATGTCGCTTTTGGAAGACATGGGCAGGTGGCAGCAGCTCTGTCCTGGTGTCCTGGGCTCACCCTGTAGGAAGTAGCTATTTCAAGAACATTGCAGTTATCCTTTCCTGACCTGACAATCAGTGCTTCTTATTTTCACTGAATATAGTTAGTTAATCATAGAATGGCCCTAACTGTACATTATTACAGGAAGGTTGATATTACCACCTTAGAATGCCATGGTCCTCATTGATGTCCTCAGAGAAGCCATTCTCCTTCCTTAATTAACTGAGTCCATGTAAAGATGTCAGGTGAATACATTTAATTTGGCACAGTGACTTCTATAGCCTTTAGTCTTTACACATTTGTTAATTTTAATTTCTTGCCCTGTACTTTCTAAAAGTAGACATTAAAACACATAAAGCATATACTTTTAACCTATTTTGAATATCTACTGTGTGCCTGGCGCAGACAATATCATTTATTCTTGGATAATAAGGGAAGAAGAAATGGTTCCTTAAGTTGCTCATGATCTTTGGGCCATACAGTATTTAGAAACTAAATGTAGAACAAGTAAATATACAGTAAATCTTTCCTGCATGTGAGTTTCCAAGTTTTTTGTACATTTCTTTGAGCACTGGTGCTGAGTCTCTTCTTTGTGCCCAATAGCATCCTAGAGGATATAGTATCATGATTAAGAGGCTAGGGTCTGAGTCAGCATACATGGGTTCAAAACTCGTCTTCACCATTTAATCTCTCTGAGCCTCAGTTTCTTCATCTGCAAGTGAGAATAATTAGTTCCTACCTTACACAGTTGTTACGAAGATTAGAGATAATGCATATACAGCTGGAAGCTAGTGACTATTGAGTAAACACGGAATAAATGTTAGCTGATATTACTGGGCCTAGTAGGAAGAAGGAGATCTCTACCCTGCCCTCAAGAAATTCACAATCTATTTGGAATATAAAATATATATTGCTGAAACAGCATGGGGAATTCATGAAGCAACATGGGGAAAACTACCGAGGGAGGACATAGATCACATTGTAATTGAAAGGAATCTTAATGGAGCAAGTGAATTTACAAAAAGAGTTAAACTTAAAGCCACACCAATTAAGAAAAGAAGGAGAGAAAGAACTTTTTAAGAAGGGGAATGGCAAATGCAAAGATGTTAGTCAAGTTCTGCTAATGTATAAAGAGTGGCCCATTTTGTCTGGACTAGGTGGGGAGAATATTTTTACTCCCATTTCCGTTTGGAGGAACCAAATCAGAAGTAACTACTAAATGCTGCCTTCATAAGGGATATCAAAATATCAAGATAATTTTTAACCAAGAACTCAGTATATGTTGGAGATAGGCTGTAACTAGGCTTTTGGAACCCCCAATCCAGTGCTGCAACATCCTCCTTCATGGAGTAAAGCCCCGGGTTTAGCCACAGGGGACCCGTTTATTGCCCTTCCTCATCTGTTTGGCTCAACTTCATTCCCTTACTTTTGGATTTGTTTTGCTTTCTGACTATACTGCTTTCCCTGGCTCTTGTACATTTCCCAGTATGTTTATGAAGAGGAAATAACCTAATTACTGAAATGACCAGTGTCATTATGAGACAGACCTCTTAGCAGTGAGACCAAGGTGTTACTTATGTCACTTTCCTTGTTCTTGACTATCTCTTCTGCTTAGATTTTATTTCATTCCTACCATATTCCTACCATAACACATTGTGATGTCTTTATGCCAGTAGAACCCAAATTCAAATTTTGATTGGGGCTGTATATGCTAATATATAACATAGCAAGTCAAGAGCACTTTTTATCTTCAATCTCTGTGAAGTAATGAAAGGCCACTGCTGATTCTCCATAAAGCCAACTTTGAGCACCCTTTTAAACTTTCATTTCCTCCTCATTCCTTATCTTCTTTCTCTGCTTTAATTTTTCTCTATAACATTTGTAACATACTATATATTTTATTTATTTTGTTAAATGCTTAAATGAATGGTAGTACCCTAAGAGAGTCTTATTCTCTCCCACTTGAAAAAACTTGATTAAAAAAATCTAAATTTATATAATTTGATGGATATTGGAGCCTCTAAAATACTAACCTCACTTTGTATATTTTAAAATAGGATTCTGTTTTGCAAATTTGCATATAGTTTGTCAAAAACTCATAACTTGGTCAGGCGCAGTGACTCACGCCTGTAATCCCAGCACTTTGGGAGGCCGAGGTGGGTGGATCATGAGGTCAGGAGATTGAGACCATCCTGGCTAACATGATGAAACCCCGTCCCTACTAAATATACAAAAAAAATTAGCTGGCCATGGTGGCGGGCACCTGTAGTCCCAGCTACTCGGGAGGCTGAGGCAGGAGAATGGCATGAACCTGGGAGGTGGAGCTTGCAGTGAGCCGAGATTGCACCACTGCACTCCAGCCTGGGTGACAGGGTAGGCAACAAAACTCATAACTTTTGTATGATGAAGTACTTACCTAGACCTAGTTTTTGGTTACTCGAGGAATTACACTTAATTCTGAGTCTAGCTTAATACCATTTTAAAATGGTGCTTACTTAGGTGGGTGTACTTCATGCTTGTAGTCTCAGCTACTTGGGAGGCTGAGGCAGGAGGATCACTTGAGCCCAGGTGTTTAAGGCCAGCAAACAAACAAACACAGAAGCACTTACTTGATTTTCGACATACTATGTAATAGCGCCTGTATAGCCATATATACCCACTGAGTGGTTTTGCTAGTAACAGTTATAACTTTATTGTAAGCCTTTTTGAATTGAGAAATACAATGGCTTTTTTACCGTCCTGTTACGTGACCTGTGATTTGCAGTATTTCTTGTTCAGCTAATGTCTTTCAGCAATTAGTTAATTGGTAGTTTGTACCTATATTGACACTAATGTTCTCAACATATAGGGACTTGTTAATGACTGCTATCTTTACTTGGGATAATTAGCATATCAAAGGAGTAGAGCATAATGATAAATTGTACTTGGTTTACTTTCATTTCCAAGGCTAATTGTTGTTGTTTTCTACACCCTTTTGATATTTGCAAAGAGCCTCAATTGAGAATAGTTATGTAAATGAACCATTATGATCTAACCAGAAGTATTTTCTCTTATTAATAGGTGTATCCTTGGCGATACATAGTTCAGACTTGAGTTTTTTTTTAAATAAAATCTTAAGCATAGACTTAAGGAATTAAGGAGATAAATACTGAGAATCTTCCCTATTGAAAGCATTTTCCACTTAATTCCATCATTTATACTGTCAGTCCTGAAACCCAAATATTTCTCTGTTTAGAAAAGCTAGTTCAGTGGCTTATTTCATTCATTTACTCATTCTTTTAGTTATCTCTGCATTAATTCCATTTTTTCCATCAGTTGCTCTGTATGTACTATGTTCCAGACACTGGGGGTGCAAAAATGAACACGAAAATCTCCCAGCCTGCCAGGAACTCACCTATAGTGAATATTCATTATACACTATAGGAACTCCTTTAATCAAGGGCTGAGCCAGATCCACTGTTACATCTCACCAGAATATCATGGCCGTTATTGCTTTACCGTACGTGTGTCAGTGCCTGGCAGACTTTTATAAAGGTGGGGGACAATAGTCTTCTTTAGCTTTATCAGATTCGGTATCTTTCCTCCCATTTTAGCCTTTTGCAGTTTCAAATGGTGCAGATACAGAGCCCTGAAAATGTATACTTGTACGTTTTTAAATGTCCCCTACTATGCTGTAACCATCCCCTGTTTTCCAAATGCTGCCATTAGTGGTTACAGTAATCATCTGTAATGTTAGCTTCTCAGAACCATGGTACAAGAGCTTCTTTTCTAATTTCCCAGATGGGAGGGAACACATGTACATGCTTGTTAGAGTTGCAGAAACTAGAAACAGCACTGTGTGGATTTGTATTTTTGGAATTCTATGGGCTTGTTTAAGCACTCAAATTCAAACTTAGATATCCATTAGGAATCAAATACCATTTCGGGGAAATCTCATGTGCCACACCAACAGGAATAACACATATAAAACGAACTCCTGGAAAAAACTAGTTTCATATTCAGACTCATGTTTTATGTACTTTTTTCAGGATGCCAGATGATAAATGTTGATTATATAAACTAGAGTCATTCCGTTTGTTTGGAGGATTGTCTCTAAGCATTTCCGCTCTTTATTGAAATAGTAGTGAAATTGAAAGTTTAAAAGTCAGAAAGGGAAGTAATTATAAATTACCCATAGGCATATGGAATAAAGCCCCCAATTATAAAGGATTTTGGTGGCCCCTGGTTCTTTGCAGTGTGTTTTTGCAAGGTTATGTGATTTGTAATCATAGCCTCTAGCCTTGACCTTACATAAGAAAACTTAGTCATTGGGGAAAGGTTTCTGAAAGTAAATGTTATTTCTTTTTTAATTGTCTTTTTGACCAATCTAACTCACATAGGGCTACTTCTACACTTAGATCATAAAATGAATTTGTTCCTATGAATGTCTTCAAGCTCAGCTTTAACCTTAGTTTTAGATGTTTGACGAGTGTTAAAGTCATATTATACAATTGAGTAGTTTCTGTTCGTTGCAGACCCTGAGTGTTTTTTACAATTTTCATTCTCATTTTACAGAAAAGAAAGTTCAAGGTTGAATACTCTATCATCTATAAAAGAGCAAGAAGTGATCAGTAAGCTCAGACTCCTGACCTGGGCTCTCCTTTTAAAGTCACTAGTTCTGGAGGACTTGGTGTATTAACAAGGCCAGGAGCAGGGAGCCAGCATTTAGTTTCTAGACATTATTGGTGACAAAAAAATTTGTAAAGTAGGTTCCTGAAAAATCTCTAGATGTAGAGAATAAAAATTAGGGAGGAACATTCCCTTTGTTCACTAATTTATTCATTCAGCTAACATTGAGTGGTTTCCATATGCCAGATACTGTGCTAAGATCCTGCTCTTACCCACTTATCCCCCTCCTCACCCAGTTAGAAACAGAACAAGACCAAACAAAGCTATACTTCTTATATCATGCCACCTAAAAATATATTCCAGAGGTATTGCAAATCTACAATGTACAAATAAAATTATAACAATATAAGATGAAAAACTAGAGAAGCAGTTATAGAATCTCAGAGTTATTGACCGGATTTAACTCTGCAAAAATCTAAATTTTCTGTGATGGCAGAAGAGCCCTCAAATGAAGTAAAAAGTCAAAAAGAGAAAATAACTTTAGCACATGTGACAGAAAAAGATTAAGAAACTCAATGAACAACGACAACAAAGACTAAGAACCTTAAAGCAAGATGGATAATGGATTTGATCAGGAAATTTACAAAAGAAATGTAGATGACCAGTAAATAAGTAAAAAGTTGCTCAGCCTCATTCATTGAATCTAAATGGAGATACCATTTTCCAGATTTTAAAGAGTGGTAACAGCCAGTGTTATCCAGTGATTCAGGATGAGGGGAAGCAGGCTTATACAAACTCACAGGTCCAAATGTGAATTGTTGCAAATATTTTTTTATTTTGTTATTTTTATTTTATTTTATTATTATTATTTTTTTTGAGACAGAGTCTCACTCTGTCAGCCAGGCTGGAGTGCAGTGGCACCATCTCGGCTCACTGCAATCTCCGCCTCCCGGGTTCAAGCAATTCTCCTGCCTCAGCCTCCCAAGTAGCTGGGATTACAGGCATGTGCCACCACGCCTGGCTAATTTTTGTATTTTTAGTAGAGATGGGGTTTACCGTGTTGGCCAGGCTGGTCTTGAACTCCTGACCTCAGGTAATCCACCCACCTCGGCCTCCCAAAGTGCTGGGATTACAGGTGTGAGCCACCGCGCCCGGCCTGTTGCAAAATTTTTAGAAAATAATCTGTCAAATTCTTTTGAAATGTAAAATGTTCATAACCTTTGACCCAAGAAGCTCAGTTTTAATTCTCTATTTAAAAATATAAGTTCCACTACTAACAAATGCACACACACAAATGTACATACACTGAGACAAGCATACACACACAAAAGAATATTTATTGCAGCACTATCAAGTGGCCAAGAATTGTGAACAACCTGAAGTTTGTTGCTAAGGAAATGGTTTAATAAAAAATAAATCCATGCCATGGAATATTATGTGGCTATTTAAAAAGCAGTTGATAGAGCGATATGATTCCTTTAGGGAAAACAAAACAGAAGGTTAAAGAGCTGTTTATATGCAAATGTGTATATGTTTTTATGAGCATAAAGAAAGTAGTTTGAAGCTACCTACACACACAGTTAATATTGGTTACCTTGAAAAGTGGGGGTGAGAGAGGGGTGGAAGAGCTTTTACTTTATAAATTTCTGTATGGTTTGACTTGTTAAGACAAGCCTAAATTTTGTAATCTAAAATTTTTTTTTAATTTTATTTTATTATTATTATACTTTAAGTTTTAGGGTACATGTGCACAATGTGCAGGTTAGTTACATATGTATACATGTGCCATGCTGGTGTGCTGCACCCATTAACTCGTCATTTAGCATTACGTATATCTCCTAATGCTATCCCTCCCCCCTCCCCCCACCCCACAACAGTCCCCAGAGTGTGATGTTCCCCTTCCTGTGTCCATGTGTTCTCATTGTTCAGTTCCCACCTATGAGTGAGAACATGCGGTGTTTGGTTTTTTGTCCTTGCGATAGTTTACTGAGAATGATGATTTCCAGTTTCATCCATGTCCCTACAAAGGACATGAACTCATCATTTTTTATGGCTGCATAGTATTCCATGGTGTATATGTGCCACATTTTCTTAATCCAGTCTATCATTGTTGGACATTTGGGTTGGTTCCAAGTCTTTGCTATCGTGAATAGTGCCGCAATAAACATACGTGTGCATGTGTCTTTATAGCAGCATGATTTATAGTCCTTTGGGTATATACCCAGTAATGGGATGGCTGGGTCAAATGGTATTTCTAGTTCTAGATCCCTGAGGAATCGCCACACTGACTTCCACAATGGTTGAACTAGTTTACAGTCCCACCAACAGTGTAAAAGTGTTCCTATTTCTCCACATCCTCTCCAGCGCCTGTTGTTTCCTGGCTTTTTAATGATGCCATTCTAATTGGTGTGAGATGGTATCTCACTGTGGTTTTGATTTGCATTTCTCTGATGGCCAGTGATGGTGAGCATTTTTTCATGTGTTTTTTGGCTGCATAAATGTCTTCTTTTGAGAAGTGTCTGTTCATGTCCTTCGCCCACTTTTTGATGGGGTTGTTTTTTTCTTGTAAATTTGTTTGAGTTCATTGTAGATTCTGGATATTAGCCCTTTGTCAGATGAGTAGGTTGCGAAAATTTTCTCTGATTTTGTAGGTTGCCTGTTCACTCTGATGGTAGTTTCTTTTGCTGTGCAGAAGCTCTTTAGTTTAATTAGATCCCATTTGTCAATTTTGGCTTTTGTTGCCATTGCTTTTGGTATTTTAGACATGAAGTCCTTAATTTTTTAAAAAAGAAAGAAAACGGAAAGGGAAGTGGCCAAAGAGACAAGAAAAGACCATCAAGAAAAGAGAGTTTCGAGAGGCAAGTGGTCACCCATGTCAAATACTGTTTAGACATCAAGTAAGAAAAGGGCAGAGAAGCATTTGGTGTGTTTAGTGGTTACCCTTAGTGGGAATGGTCTTCATGAACTTGTGGGGTCAGTAGTAGGCTATCGTTGTGGGCTAAGGGTAAGTGGAAGAGAAGGGAATAGAGAGTGTGTAGATATCTCTTCCAAGCAGTCTGTGAAGGGGAGGAGCGAGAGGAGAGGGAATCCAAGGAGCTCTGTAGAGTTCAACAAGATTCTTTCCTTTCCTTTAAAAATGTTTCTTTTTTAGGATGGGAGAGACTTGTGGTTCTTGTCCCTGTGTATACATGTCACACTCATCCATCTTATACACACAAGAGAATGCAGAGCAAGGAGACCGAAGGTTCCGGAGTTGAGCAGGATGAGTGATGGCCAGCTTCCCAGGATGAAGGAAAAGAAGGGGTGGCATGACAGACAAAAGACATTGTATTTGAGGTTGAAGATACAATGTCAAGCTCATGAGTAGTGAGTCTTTTTTTTTTTTTTTTGAGGTGGAGTCTCGCTCTGTTGCCCAGGCTGGAGTGCAGTGGTGCCATCTCCGCTCACTGCAAGCTCCGCCTCCCGGGTTCATGCCATTCTCCTGCCTCAGCGTCCCAAGCAGCTGGGACTACAGGTGCCCACCACCACGCCCGGCTAATTTTGTTTTTTTGTATTTTTAGTAGAGACCGGGTTTCACCGTGTTAGCCAGGATGGTCTCGATTTCCTGACCTCGTGATCCGCCCGCCTCAGCCTCCCAAAGTGCTGGGATTACAGGCATGAGCCACCGCGCCCAGCCGAGTAATGAGTCTTAAAGTCTAGGTGTGACCCTTCCCTCTCTTGCTGCTGGTGTGGCTGCTGAACCTTCCTAAGGACCTATGAACTGATCCAGAAATATAGGTCCGTTCTTACCAGTCTCTATGAGTGAAAGATGTTAAGTGTTTAACACATATTAAGTGTTTAGTAATTAAGTGTTTAAAATTTTTATATTTGACTTGGAGCCACTACCAACCAAAAATAAATTAAGGGTTATTAAAATTTGGTATTCACAAATTAAAATCAATGTGTGCCACGAGATTTATTTTAATTCAGTATTTTATTCAGAAGTCTGGCAGACACTTGGTGCTTGGCAATAATCATAAAGCACATGCACATAGTTGTAAATTCCACAGTTTTGATTCAGGACACTTCATCAGTGTATCATCAGCGTTGGCTTGAGTTGGTTATAATATTCAGTTCCTGCTATTCTTGCTTTTTAATTATAAATTACAGTAAGTTTAGTTTTATCATTATCAGTTTAGTTTATTGTGTGTTATTTGGTTAATCTCAAATGTTTATTGGTACATACTTGGATCAACAATGTTTTGTCTTATAGTGTTCTTATAACTAGACTTTTAAGATATGTATGTCTCATGATTCACATATGAATCATCCATTATCATTTTGCCAAAGTAGATGTGTACCTAACCCCCTTGTCATTTGCTTGTATGGTGACACTCTTCATGGTGATATGTTTCCTGCAAATTTTTGCTATTTAAATAGCTTACAACATACTGTCAAGGTAGGTGTAAGAAAATTACTGGATATTTTAATGTTTTTTGATGTTGTAGGATGTAAATTATGTTTATAGTAATATGTTTACTGCAACTTAATTATATTTTTGCTGAATTCTTTGTTACCACCAGGTTCACTACCCGCCCCCTACCTCCTGAATGTGGGAACAAGTGAGATAGGTGGAGGTCTTTCGCTTTGCTGTGGTGGGCTTTGCTCAGAAAGTTTAAAATCCATCCCTCTAGAGGAGTGGGTAGGTGTGTGGAAAGGATGTGCAAAGCAGCTAAGCTAAAGTGGAATAAGGGTAACTCACAGTCATGGCTTCAATGCCAGTGGACTGTGAGCTTGACACTAATAAGATGTTAGGAGAACAGGTGCTGATGTTGTGTTTTCACTTCTTGTTTAAGGATGTAAATGAAGACCCTGGAGAAGATGTGGCCCTCCTCTCTGTTAGTTTTGAGGACACTGAAGCCACCCAGGTGTACCCCAAGCTGTACTTGTCACCTCGAATTGAGCAGTAAGTGTCATTAACATGAGGTAGCCTGGTGCTACTTCTTGCTAACCAATATGTCTCATTCTTTCTTTTGCCACTCTTGAACTCTTACATTTATTTCTCTTCATTGACTTTTGTTTTCTTAAAAAATTCATCATATTAAGAGTTTCCATTGCAGAGTAAATGCAGTTAGTACTTGCCACTACACCCTTTTGGCAAGTGTTATTGTGCATTTAGTGACATGAATACTGTACCTTTGTAGAGAGAAAAGAATAGGCAGACTGAGTCCAAAATTGAGACTCCTTCCAGATGTTCCCTGGAGTTCGAATGGTTGTAGCCTACAGTGGGCTGCTAAACATCTGGCCCAATTTCTTACTTATTTGTAACTATTAATGTTATTTGTAAAATGTAACTAGCCTCTTCAAAATATTTAGCAAAAACTGACTCAGAAGTTAGTAAAGCTAATATTAAAAGTAGATAGCTTAAAAAGATAACATGTTTTATTTTGCTGCATCGAAATAGCTGCGTATAATTTTACACAACATTCAGGCTACATGGCAGAAGTAGTTTGATATCGCATTTGTGTTATAACCAAGTAACATTATTCATCAGTAATGAATTTTGTAAGGCCTGAATTCACAGTGTGCTTATTGTGGGTGAAATGCTTTAGTAGCTTATTCTACTTCAAAGGAAGCTGAGGTTCATTGAAAATGGATTATAAGCAGATTTGGTTGGGAACTTCTGACAGGACAGATTTTTCATCAGCAGAGAGAGTTTTTACAGACTCTGATTGAAATGTATTATTAAAATTCTCTGTGAGTCATTTAGTTACAGTTGGCTGATTTCTGTCTGTGAGTAGATGTGGTCACTATCTAGCATTCTTAGTAAAAATACTGAGCCATTTTTACCCCTTCCGACCTTAGTTGCTCTAATTTATAAATCATGGACACATCATCTTAAAAACCAATATGACACAGCTGTTTATACTCAAATATGGGAGCTTATGAACATCAATAATCTATAGGCATTCTCTTGTCTTTTTATATATCTGACACAGCACTTAGAACAGGATTTTACAGTAGCAGACACTCAATGAATGTTTAATTTTTGTTTTGAGACAGCGTCTCACTCTGTCACCCAGGCTGGAGTGTAGTGGCATGCTTATGGCTCACTGCAGCCTTGACCTCCTGGGCTCAAGTGACCCTCCTACCTCAGTCTCCCAAGTGGCTAGGACTCCAGGTGCCACCATGCATGCCTAATGTTTTTATTTTTATTTTTGTAGAGACCGGGTCTCGCTCTATTGCCCAGGCTAGTCTCAAACTCCTAGGCTCAAGTGATTCTGCTGCCTCGGCCTCCCAAAGAATGTTTCTGTTTTTTGTTTTTTGTTTGTTTGTTTGTTTTGAGACAGAGTCTCACTCTGTCATCCAGGCTGGAGTGCAGTGGTGCAATCTCGGCTCACTGCAACCTCCACCTTCTGGGTTCAAGTGATTCTCGGGTTTCAGCCTCCCGAGTACCTGGGACTACAGGCACCAGCCACCACGCCCAGCTAATTTTTTGTATTTTCATTAGAGACAGAGTTTCACCATGTTGGCCAAGCTGGTCTCGAACTCCTGACCTCAGGTGATCTGCCCGCTTCGGCCTCCCAAAGTGCTAGGATTACAGGCATGAGCCACAGTGCCTGGCCCCAAAGAGTGTTTTATTATTATTATTATTATTATTATTATTTTTTTTTTTTTTTTTTTTGAGACGGAGTCTCGCTCTGTCGCCCAGGCTGGAGTGCAGTGGCGCAATCTCGGCTCACTGCAAGCTCCGCCTCCCGGGTTCACGCCATTCTCCTGCCTCAGCCTCCCAAGTAGCTGGGACTACAGGCGCCCGCCACTACGCCCGGCTAATTTTTTGTATTTTTAGTAGAGACGGGGTTTCACCGTTTTAGCCGGGATGGTCTCGATCTCCTGACCTCGTGATCCGCCCGCCTCGGCCTCCCAAAGTGCTGGGATTACAGGCGTGAGCCACCGCGCCCGGCCTATTATTTTTTAATTGAAAATACTGACCCATATTAGTAAGCGATCAGTGGATACCAGAGGCAGTAGAATGACGTGGCATAAGGCAAGGGCTCTGAGTCAAGCAGATCTAGTTTAAACCTGGTTCCTGCCACTCACCAGCTGTCACAAAATGTAACTTCTCTGAGCTTGTTTCCTCAGTCATAAAATAGACATAATAATACCTATTTCTTAGTGTTGTTTTCAGGATTATATTAATACTGTTCATAAAGCATTAATCACAGTGCCTGGCACTACAGTAAACACTCAGCAAGTAATAGCCATGAATATTATTATTATTGATACAGTTCATAGGAGAAGAACGAGTGAGTGTTTAGCAGGGATAAGTTGGGGCAGAAAAGGAGAGGATGGGTAAATAAGGGAGCAAGTACCAGTTCTAGCGTAGCCACTCATTGTGTAACTAATGAGTTAAATTACAAAGGTGCTTTGGTGATGAGCAAAGAGTTAATGAAACAA